>NC_000021.9:5846009-5916593 GCF_000001405.40 Homo sapiens
CATTTTCGATGTGCTGCTGGTTTCAGTTTGCCAGTATTTTATTGAGGATTTTTACATCGATGTTCATGAGGGATATTGGCCTGAAATTTTTGTTGCGGTTGTGTCTTTGCGAGGTTTTGGTATCATTATGATGGTGACCTCATAAAATGAATTAGGGAGGAGTCCCTCCTTTTCAATTGTTTAGAATAGTTTAAGAAGAAATGTTACCAGCTGCTCTTTATGCTTCTGGTAAAATTCGGCTGTGAATCCATCTGGTTCTGAGCGTTTTTTTATTGGTAGGCTATTAATTACTGCCTCAATTTCAGAACTTTTTATTGGTCTATTCAGGGATTCAACTTCTTCCTGGCTTAGTCTTGGGAAAGTGTATGTGTCCAGAAATTTATCCATTTCTTCTATATTTTCTAGTTGATTTGTGTGGAGATGTCTATAGTATTCTCTCATGGTAGTTTTTATTTCTGTGGAATCAGTGGTGATATCCTGTTTATCATTTTTTAATGTGTCTATTTGTTTCTTCTTTCTTTTCTTCTTTATTAATCTAGCTAGTGGTCCGTCTCTTTTGTTAATCTTTTCAAAAAACCAGCTAGTGGAGTCATTGATTTTGAACAGTTTTTCTTGTCTCTATCTCCTTCAGTTCTGCTCTGATCTTAGTTGTTTCTTTCCTTCAGCTAGTTTTTGAATTTGTTTCCTCTTGATTCTCTAGTTGTTTTAATTGTGATGTTAGGGTGTCGATTTCAGATCATTCCAGCTTTCTGTTGTGGGCATTTAGTGCTAGCATATCCCCTCTTAAAACTGCTTTAGCTGTGTCCAAGAGATTCTGGTACATTGTCTCTTTGTTCTCATTTGTTTCAAAAAAAACTTAATTTCTCTCTTAATTTTGTCATTTACTCAGTAGTCGTTCAGGAGCAGGTTGTTCAATTTCCATGTATTTATGTGGTTTTGAGTGAGTTTCTTAATCCTGAGTTCTGATTTGATTGCACTGTGGTCTGAGAGACAGTTTGTTATGGTTGCCATTTTTTCCATTTGTTGAGGAGTGTTTTGCTTCCAATTATGTGGTCAATTTTAGAATATGTGCTATGTGGCATGGAGAAGAATGTATATTCTGTTCTTCTGGCATGGAGAGTTCTGTAGTTGTCTATTAGGTCCGCTTAGTCCAGAGCTGATTTCAAATCCTGAATATCCTTGTTAATTTTCTGTCTCATTGATCTGTCTAATATTGGCAGTGGGGTGTTAAAACTTCCCAGTGTTATTGTGTGGGAGTCTACGTCTCTTTATAGGTCTGTAAGAACTTGTTTTATGAATCTCAGTGCTCCTCTGTTGGGTAGGTATATATATAGGATAGTTAGCTCTTCTTGTTGCATTGATCCCTTTACCTTTATGTAGTGCCCTTCTTTGTCTTTTTTCATCTTGGTTTAAAGTCTGTTTTACAAGAAACTAGGATTGAAACCTTGCTTTTTTTGTTGTTGTTGTTGCTTTTTTTGCTTTCCATTTGCCATTTCTCCTTCCCTTTATTTTAAGCCTATGTGTGTCTTTGCATGTGAGATGTGTCTCCTGAATATAGCACACCAAAGATTCTTGACTGTTTAACCAATTTGCCAGGCTCTGTCTCTTAATTGAGGTATTTAGCCCACTTATATTTATGGTTAATATTGTTATGTGTGAATTTGATCCTGTTATCATGATGCTAGCTGGTTATTTTGCACATTCGTTGATGCAGTTTTTTCATAGTATCGATTGGTCTTTATATTTTGGTGTGGTTTTGCAGTGGTGAACCATATTTTCCTTTCCATATTTAGTGTTTCCTTCAGGAGATTTTGTAAGGCATGCCTGGTGGTGACATAATCCCTCAGCATTTGCTTGTCTGTGAAGGACTTTATTTCCCCTTTGCTTTTGAAGATTAGTTTGGCTGGATATGAAATTCTGAGTTGAAAATTATTTTATTTAAGAATGTTGAATATTGGCCCCCACTCTCTTCTGGCTTCTAGAGTTTCTGCAAAGAGATCTGCTGTTAGTCTGATGGGCCTCCATTTGTAGGTAACCTGACTTCTCTCTCTGTCTGCCCTTAACATTATTTCCTTCATTTCAACCTTGGAGAGTCTGGCGATTATGTGTCTTGGAGTTGCTCTTCTCGAGGAGTATCTTAGTGATGTTCTCTGTATTTCCTGAATTTGAATGTTGGCCTGTCTTGCTAGGTTGAGGAAGTTCTCCTGGATAATATCCTAAAGTTTGTTTTCTAGCTTGGATCCATTCTTCCCGTCACTTTGAGGTATACCAATCAATCGTAGGTTTGGTCTTTTCACATAGTCCCATATAACTTAAAGGCATTGTTTAGCTCCATCAGGCCATTTATGTTTCTCTCTAAGCTGGTTATTCTAGTTAGCAGTTCCCATAACCTTTTATCAAGATACTTAGCTTCTTTGCATTGTGTTAGAACATACTTCTTTAGCTCAGAGGAGTTTATTATTACCCACCTTCTGAAGACTACTTCTGTCAATTCTTCAATCTCATTCTCCATCCAGTTTTGTGTCATTACTGGAGAGGTGTTGTGATCATTTGGAGGAGAAAAGGCATTCTTGTTTCTGGAATTTTTGGCATTTTTGTGCTGTTTTTTCCTCATCTTCATGGATTTATCTACTTTCAATCTTTGGGGCTGATGACATTTGGATGGGGTTTTTTTTGGGTGGGTCCTTTCTGTTGATGTTGATGTTGTTGCTTTCTGCTTGTTAGTTTTTCTTCTAACAGCAAGGTTCTTCTGCAGGTCCAGTGCAGTTTGCTGGAGTTCCAATCCAGACCCTGTTCACCTGGGTGTCACCAGTAAAGGCTGCAGAACAGCAAAGATTGCTGCCTTCTCCTTCTTCTGGAAACTTCATCCCAGGAGGATACCCGCCCAATGCCAACTGGAGCCCTTTTGTATGAGGTGTCTGTCAACCCCTGTTAGGAGGTTTCTCCCAGTCAGGAGTCACGGGGAACCCACTTGAGGAGACAGTCTGTCTCTTAGCAGAGCTGGTGCACTGTGCTGGCAGAATCCCTCTAGTCAAAATCAGCTGCTCTCTTCAGAGCCAGCAGGCAGGAATGATGAAATCCACTGAAGCTGCACCCACAGCCTCCCCTTCCCCCATGTGCTCTGTCCCAGGGAGATAGAGGTTTTCTGTGTAAGCCTCTGACTAGGGCTGTTACCTTTCCTTCAAATATGACCTGCCCAATGAGGAGGACTCTAAAGAAGCAGTCTGCCACAGCCACTTTGCTGCACCCAACCCGGACCTTCCAGCCTCCTTGGCACCGTCAGGGGAAAACTGTCTACTAAAGCCTCAGTAATGGTGGACTCCACTCCCTCCAACTGACCTCAATTGGCCCAGGTCAACTTCAGACTGCTGTGCTGGCAGCGAGAATTTCAGGATGAGGAACGCATTAGCTGTTTGTGATTTTCATGTCTGTTGCAGGGATTTGACCCATTGTTAGTGCTAGATTTGGAGTCTTAAAAAACAGATTTATCTTACTGAACTCAAAGTACAACTTGAAGATGTACTCAGCTGTTTACTTAAATTAAAGCGGGAGAAAATGTATCTTTGCAGATCTATTTTTATGTCACTTGCTTTTAGACACGAGATTGTCTCTGGCACAGTAATTCAACTTAGTCTATGTCAAAAACATAGCCTGAAAATGCTCAAAAAAAATTATGAATAGCGGATTGTATTCTATGTGTTCTCAAATTTCTTCTATGATGTAAAATATATAACATAATGTTTTACCTTGGATTTCTAACCTCAGCCCTCAGCCATTTTCCCAATTTTTTTTTTTTTGTTTTGAGACGGAGTCTTGCTCTGTCTCTCAGGCTGGAGTGCAGTGGAGCTATCTCGGCTCACTGCAAGCTCCACCTCCCGTGTTCATGCCATTCTCCTGCCTCAGCCTCCCAAGTAGCTGGGACTACAGGCACCTGCCACCACGCCCGACTACTTTTTTGTATTTTTAGTAGAGACAGGGTTTCACCGTATTATCCAGGATGGTCTGGATCTCCTGACCTCATGATTCACCCATCTCAGCCTCCCAAAGTGCTGGGATTACAGGCATGAGCCACCTTGCCATGCCCCACTTTCCCAAACTATTAAAAGACCTTCCAAGGTGGGTCAAAAGCATTTTTCAGAGAAGATTATTCCTAACAGTAAAGGATAATAACAGATGGATAAAAATCTCAAATAAATTATGCCTCTATTTGCAGAAGCGTCACTCTCCAGAGTCTCCAAGATCCAGAGAATTTCCATGAGGTAGAGTAGTTTATGGACATTTAGCAAAGTTGGTCCTGACTGCTGTCTCAGCCTCTTAATAGATGTGCAGCTATAGACAATTTACTGGACTTAGAACAGTTATATAAACCTGGGCTGCAAGAAAACGGATAACACTGATTGCAAGAATGGCAACCACTTCTCATTCCTCTCTGATCTGGGCCCTCTGCAATGTACACTTGAGGCTGCTTCCATGGAGGGAAAGATTTTCTTTTCCCAAATCTTGGATCTGGCTGGCCTTATTTGCTCTGCCTCATTCATACTTTTTGTTCTAATAAAATAATTAAGATGTTTAGCGTCTCATCCCAGCCTTTATCTTGTTAAAACTATATCTTATGATATGTCATCTCTCTTTACTATATTTGGTTATATTCATTCTATTCAATACTCAGGTAATTTTTTATCTCTGTTTAATTTAGTGTTTCACCTATACCTTGTCCTAATTTTTTTATTCTTTACATTCTACCGAGCTGTGATTCAAATATGATATTTGAATATGGAAAATGGTGGCCTAGTTTTTCTTCAGAAATTTCTTTTTATTTACTTGTGTTCTTTAGTTTTTAACTTGGTTCCAATATTTGGGAAATATCACATTTGAGATGTCTGTAGTCATGTTATTTCTGTGCTTATTCCATTTTCCCTTGGAGGAAGGTGGACAGCATACAGACTTGACATCCTTGTGATCTATCAGTATCTGAAGGGACCACTTTTTTTCAGTTTGATTACTTCTCTGGCTTATTCTCTTGATTTACTTTAGCTTTCATCAAGTGCTTCTATATTTTTAAACTGTATTCATTATTTTCATAGTTCTTGTAGCTTCTTGAGAACTTTTACTTGTCTACACTAAAATATTTAAAAATATGTAGCCTTTTCTTCTGAAAGCACAAATATGCAGTGTACACATGAGTAGAATATTTCATAGGCATTGGGCAGCATACAACCACATCTTATGAGATATTCCGTTTCTTCATTCAAAACATCTCTCTCAAATATGTAGTAATAGTCACTTGTAAGGGGTAGTTCTTTTGATACTTAAAATTTTCTTTTATGTGCCTTTATGAAAATATATACTTAACTACAGAGAACAGAACTCTGTGCTTCCTTTTAGTATGTCCTTGACCTCACAAAAATAATTCATGAAATCTTATATTTATTTTATAAATTAATTTAATGAAACAAAATTTGTGCATGGCTAAATATTACTTGTTGAGTACAATTTAGAATTTCTACTGTCATTTTAGTGTCCTAAAAGATATGAGCTGTTGAATTTCTGCTCTCATAAAATGAATGATATTGTTAGGCCTAAACCCTTGCCATTTATTTTCCCCCTCTGTCATACAGTGTGTATCTTTGGTTCACTGCTGAAAAATTTTATTAATTTTTCTCTCTTGCTAGTAGTCATACTTTCTAATAAAGTTATCATTACTTGTGTTTATTTAGTTACTGTATGTTAAACATTTGATTTCTGATGGTCTTAATGTCATTTAATATAATTGTAAATATTTCAATTTGTCATTATTAACAAATTTCTGTATTATATGTTTTAGACTCAGCTATTAAGTATATGTGGGTAAATGACTTAGAATAATTTCTAAAACATTGTAGGGGCTACTAAGTACTAATAACCCTGATTCATTAAATTTTTATTCCTTATAATATTCTTTATTGACTAAATTATTTTGTAATCTTATTTAAATTTATTCTTTTCTTTTCTAAATATTTGTGAAAAAGGGGTTAGGCTAATGTGTCATTTTGATAAAACTTCATGTCAAATGATATGTTTCACTGGTTTCTTTTAGATGTAATAGCTTTTTTGACTCAGGCAATACATGCAAGTATGAAGTATAAAAATTATAGTCTCAATCCTTAAGCTGAGTAAAAACTTGGCTATTTATTGATTTTAACAAAGCTACATTATCCCACATAATACGTAAAACTTTCACAAAGCTACATTATCCCACATAACAGGCATACCAGCTGCCTATATCTGGAAACATGGATTGTTACAAATTAGAAGTAAATAACTTGATAGGCCCAATTTAACAAATGAAGCTCAAGAAGTGGGAGATATGAGACCTATAATGAAAGATTAAATTATTTTAAAAATCTTACCACAAAGAAAAATCAGAGTCAAATACTTTAACTGTTAAATTATACAAAATATTTCATAAAAATACCAATCCTTTACAAATACACACCATACATAGATAAGAGATAAACAACCCCTAACTACTTTATGAGGCCAATATTACTATACCAAAGCCAGACAAACCCATCATGTGTTAGGATTAATATGGGTACATACGGCTGATAAATAAAGACACATAATTCTCAAAAAGTACTAATAAGTTAAATACAGAAACACGTAAAAGTAATTATACACCATGGCCAAGTACAATCTTTTTACAAATGAAGTGGCTTAATATCTAAAAACCAATAATTTAATACACAACATTGATAAAGTGAAGAACATAAAATGATCCTTTTAATAGACACAGAAAAGCTTGTGATACAAACAACACTGATTCATTATAAAATCCTTAACATACTAGGAAGGAAAAACTTACTGGAACTACTAAAAAGGATTCATAAAAATTTCCCACTAATATTACACTTGCTGATGAAAGACTAGGCTCTTTGCCTCACAGTTGTGGGAAACAGATAAGCATGGCTACTTTCGCTACTCTACTAAATTGAACTAAAGGTGTTAGGCAGAGAAATTATATAATAAAAACAAATAAAACTTCTAAATTTATAAAATAAACTTTTATTGTAAATGGCATCAACTTATATTCAAGAATTTTTAAAGAGTTTACAAAAATCAACTGGAACTAATAAATGAGTTCAGCAGGTCACAAGATACAAGATAAATGCACAATATTAAATTGCACTTTTATACAGTAACTAAGGGCAATCAGTAAATAAAATTAGAAAAAATAATTCTACTCATTAGCTCAATGTGTAGTGGCTTAAAATTCCAAATATGCATTATGTCTTATTTTCTGTTGGCTACAAATACTGACACAGCTTAGTTGAATGGGTCTACCACAATGTCCTCATGTGTCCGGAATTGGTCGGTTCTTGGTCTCACTGACTTCAAGAATGAAGCCGCGGACCCTCACGGTGAGTGTTACAGTTCTTAAAGGCAGCGTGCCTGGAGTTTTTCCCTTCTAATGTCAGCATGTGTTTGGAGTTTCTTTCTTCTGGTGGGTTCGTGGTCTTTCTGGCTCAGGAGTGAAGCTGCAGACCTTTGTGGTGAGTGTTACAGCTCATAAAGGCAGTGTGGACGCAAAGAGTGAGCAGCAGCAGGATTTATTGCAAAGAGCGAAAGAACAAAGCTTCCACAGTGTGGATGGGGACCCGAGAGGGTTGCCACTGCTGGCTCGGGCAGCTGCTTTTATTCTCTTATCTGGCCCCACCCACATCCTGCTGATTGGTCCATTTTACAGGGAGCCAATTGGTCTGTTTTACAGAGAGCTGATTGGTCCCTTTTCACAGGGTGCTGATTGATGCATTTACAATCCTTGAGCTAGACACAAAGTTCACCACGTCTCTACTAGATTAGCTAGATACAGAGTGTTGATTGGTGTATTTACAAACCCTGAGCTAGACACGGGGTGCTCATTTGTGTGTTTATAAACCTTGAGCTAGATACAAAGTGTCGATTGGTGTATTTACAATCCCTTATCTAGACATAAAGTTTCTCCAAGTCCCCACCAGACTCAGGAGCCCAGCTGGCTTCACCCAGTGGATCCCGCACCAGGGCCGCAGGTGGAGCTGCCTGCCTGCCAGTCACACGCTGTGCTCCCGAACTCCTCAGCCCTTGGGTTGTCGATGGGACTGGGTGCCATGGAACAGGGGGTGGAGCTCGTTGGGGAGGCTCGGGCCGCACAGGAGCCCTTGGCAGGAGTGGGGGAGAGGCTCAGGCAAGGTGGGCTGCAGTTCCCGAGCCCTGCCCCGTGGGGAGGCAGCTAAGGCCTGGCGAGAAGTCGAGCACAGCAGCTGCTGGCCCAGGTGCTAAGCCCCTCACTGCCTGGGGCTGGCGGGGCCAGCTGGCCGCTCCAAGTGCGGGGCCGCCAAGCCCACGCCCACCCGGAACTCGCGCTGGCCCGGAAGCACCGCGGGCAGCCGCGGTTCCTGCCCGCTCCCCGCAAGATAAGGGAGCCGGCTCCGGCATTGGCCTGCTGAGAAAGGGGCTCCCACAGTGCAGCGGTGAGCTGAAGGGCTCCTCAAGCGCGGCCAGAGTGGGCACCAAGGCTGAGGAGGCACCAAGAGTGAGCGAGGGCTGTGAGGGCTGCCAGCATGCTGTCACCTCTCACTCATGAGACTGAAGCTGTGTCTCAACTGAAGCTTGACTGGGAAGGATGCACTTCTGAGCTCAATCTGGTTAGTTGTGCATTATTGTTTTGACTCAGTTCTTAGTTTCTTTCTGTCTTTGGTCAGGGCACTCTCTCTATTCTCTGTCACACAAGCCTGTAAAAATGAAAGCTTAAAACACTGAAGCTCGCTTCTCCAGAGCAAAGTATGCGACAGACAGAGAGAAAGACAGGAAAAAAGGAAGTAAACAATATCACAAGAGAGAGAAAGTAAGAAGCAAGTGACAATCTTTTCATAATCAAATATTGGCAGTGACATTCCCTATTTTCCAATGTATTCTACTGCCATGAAGTGAGTCACTAACCACTTACTGTTTACATTTGGGTGTGTATAGTTGGAAATAAAAATTATTATGAGCCATCATGAAGGCTGTGCACTACGTATGCCAAGGTGAGACAAATGGGCCTGATTCTAAATATAACGAGAAGGTACTACAATGTGTGTTGTTGTTATTGTTGTTGTTCTGGCCAAAGAATAACAACATCTAAATTTTATTCAATTTCAATGTTTTCATGGTGGAGTTTGAAAAATAAATTCAAGAGGGGACATGACTTTCTCAAGATTCAAGTTATAAAACCCAGGCATGTTTGAGAGATATTCAAGCAATGTCCCATCCCTTGTAGTTTCTTTCTCTAAGTTTATGCAGTAGCTGTGTTTAATATCAAACCCAACAGTCATGCGTATCATTTTATACATATCTCATGAGATCCCTTGCAGCTGGATGCCACCATAATCCCCACTGTGCAGGCTGTGAGACTATGGAGCCCCTGAGAGGCACAATGACATACTTGGCATCACATAATTAATACATTAAACATAAAGACTTTAACTCAGCTTGTATCCTCAAACTTGTGGCTCTGGCTGCATTCCATTTCCTCCGGCACTGGTGCAGGAGGTGCTGTATTTGCATAATTGTGCACAAGTAATCAGATGACTTGGGAGAGAATGGTGAGCAGTCAGCAGTGCAGAAAAGCCTTTGAGTAGGTCTTATTGAAGGAAGATAGGTCTTATTGAAAGAAGAATAATACCTTCAAGAAGTGACCTCATTTCTTTGGTGAAAGGTCCTAACAGTACTAAGTATTCTGGTAACCAAAAACTCACATTCTAAAGACAGTCCACCATGCAGCACTGTTGGCCAGAATCTCTCAAGAGAGAAAGATGTTCTGCTGTATAACAACTTTCTGAGGCTCTTTCTTGTGAGGTTCTGTTCCTCACAAGTAGCACCTTCTAGCTATGTCTTCACACGACAGAAGGGGCATGAATATTCCTTTCAACCTCCGTCACACGGGCACTATTATTTTCTCGTTAACATGCAGCCCTCCTGACTTAATAACTTTCTCAAAGTTCCAATAACTAATAGTATCACACTGAATCCACGTGTGGATTAAGTTTTTAAATATGAATGTGGAGAGTGAGGAACACAAATATCCAGACCATAGCAAAAAGTTAATAAGCAATAACAATTGCAGTGGACAGTATTATTAATGCTTGGGATATGGGAATTTGATGTTTCTATCACAAAGGTTAAACAATGGTTTATCCTTGGCCGGGCATGATGGCTCAAGCCTGTAATCCAAGCACTTTGGGATGTCAAGGCAGGCGGATCACAAGGTCAGGAGATCGAGACCATCCTGGCTAATACGGTGAAACCCCGTCTCTACTAAAAGTCCAAAAACATTGCTGGGTGTGGTGGCGGGCGCCTGTAGTCCCCGCTACTAGGGAAGCTGAGGCAGGAAAAAGGTGTGAACCCAGGAGGTGGAGCTTTCAGTGAGCTGAGATCACACCAGTGCACTACAGCCTCGGAGACACAGCAAGACTCCATCAAAAAAATAAAATTAAATTAAAACATATAACAAAATTAAGGTCCAATTAAAGGTAAATATATATAGCAAAAAAAAAATTCAAGCTCTGATAAGGTTAATTGTAACAGATTGTGCCAGAATTTTGAGATTTCTGGAGATGGACAGAGCCCAAGAGTTTCCTTCTATAACAATTTCTGTGAAGTTTCTTACACTCTTATTCAATTTGAACGTGGATAAATGGGTTTTCTCTGTTTTGTTATTTAAGAGATTCATGATAAGGAAGGCCTATTTATGCATGATTCTTAAACAATTATTGAGTCAGTGGTGTCTGCTGAGGAAGGGCACAGAATCTCATGCCCACAGAAGCATGATGTTCTGTCAGATAGGAGACTTCTCCCAGAGCCAGAACTTCATCTTTCAAATGGAATTAGAGATTTTCACAGGCATACATTGCTCTGAAGCCCTATCAGAGGCTTAGCACTGAGAATATGACCAAAGAAGGTGACTAATAAACATATGACCTAGTACTCTGATCTACAGTGATTCTACCCTCTCAAATAGCTCTTCCCTGGCTCTGGAATCTTTTCTGGATTCATCTACCAGAAACAGATACACTGAAAGATTGAGAAGAAGCTTTTATTCTCACTGTGAGTCTTGCCCTGTCTCACCATCTTCTCTAGAAGTGCAATGTTCTAACTATTCCTGAGAGACTTCATCTCAGGTAGCTCTCTCTGACAACATAATTGAGAAGAGAAACGAGCAAGACTCAGATTATTTTGAAGGCTTGTCTAGGGTTCTTACATGATTTATGTCTCCAATTTATGTCAATATTGACAAATATAGATTCATCTCTAGATGGTAGAAAAACAGAAGGAGGAGCCTCTGCTCACAGAGAAAATAAAAGATGAATTCAATGTTTTGTAGAGCCAGCTTATTTTAAACCATGGGGCATTTAATCTTTTTAGAAAAAAACAAAAGCAATAGGGTTTTTTGTTTTTGTTTTTGCTTTTGCTTTTGTGTTTTCGTTTTGGTTTTTTTTTGTTTGTTTGTTTTTTCCCTGAAGCAACTCAACTGTGGCCTCAGACAACTGGGCACTGAGAACGCATGCTCCTCACTAGAATTTCATTACTACATTGCAGAGAAATGGGATAATTACAAAGGATTTTTTTTTTTTTGAGATGGAGTCTTCCTCTGTCATCCAAGATGGAGTGCAGTGGCATCATCTCAGCTCACAGCAACCTTGGTCTCTCAGGTTGAAGCAATTCTCCTGCCTCAGCCTCCCAAATAGCTGGGACTACAGGCATGTGCCACCTTGCCTGGGTAATTTTTATATTTTTAGTACAGACTGGGTTCCACCATGTTGGCCAGATGGTCTCGATTTCCTGACCTCGTTATCCACCCTCCTTGGTCACCTAAAGTGCTGGGTGTGAGCTGCTGTGCCCAGCCCAAAGGATTCTTAAGGGTGATATGGGGGATGGAATGGAAAAAATAAACTTAGTCTTTGCACTTCCACCTGGTCTAACTAACCCTACTCTCATCCTATCCCAAAATTATTGCCAGACTTTTCTGGAGTGTGCCAGGGGCAATTCAGAAGGAAAAGAGGTTATTCATGCCTATCCATTTCCCATAGCTCCTGAGATCTAAGTCGTTCACTCCCCTGGTTTCAGGTTGTTGCTCCCCTTCTATATCCTCAGAATTAATGTGATCCATTCCAATACTTATAATTGTACCTTTATCTGATCCCCTCCTATTTTGCTGTAGACATTTTATGTAGTAGATCCAGTTGTAATAGAGACAAGAATGTTTATATACACCATAATCAGAACTAAATTGGAGTTCCATAACCCCTTTTTTGACTGGGCTGCTACTCAGAAATCATACAAACCAGGCTGCCTGGAGGTTGCAGTTAGGAGAAATCACATCTTGCCCAGGAATGTCAGTGTGGAAACTCAGATTTGGAAAATAGATTCCTATAGCCCCAATCATTTTGCAACACTTCTGCAGAGTTAAAAGAAAGCCAGTATCTAACAGAAAATCTTGAGCTTGCAGAATAACAGAAAAGAAAAAAAAAACAAAAACACAACTTGCCAAAACACTGAAACTCCCTCTACTTATGAAATAAACAAACTGGCTTAAATTGGTGGAATCATTATGGCCAAATGGTGTTTTGGCAGAATCACCTTGCTGAGGTCACCGTCTGAATTTTCACTGCCTGTTTCATCACAACTCCCCTTCAGTTTGCCCATGACATCCATGAGGAGGCAATGAGCTTGAGAGTAACGTTTCAGTATAAAATTGCTTTCTCTTAAAAACCTGATGTCATAGTATTGGCTTCTAGCACTTCAAGAAGTGAGCTCCTTTTACTCAATAACAATGTTATCTATATCTTAGAGACAGTCAACAGGAGATAATCTCTTCTGGGACCAAAGAAGGTGACTAATAAACCATTTAATCAACACATTACCTAACCAAAAGCTGTGGACCCTGATGAGGAAAATAAGTTAAAATGAGACTATTGGCTCATTTTAATAGATATGGTGATAAAAGCAAAAAAAAAAAAAAAAAAAGAGAGAATTTAAGCGGTCTCAAATACCTAAAAGATGACATGGATTAGCTTCAAGTAACACATAATGTGGCTGGAGTCAGCTGATCTTTATGCTGAAAGTGTCAACAGTAGTGACAAATACTTCAAGTAACGGGTCAAAAGTCTAAGACAGTCATTCTGCCAGAAATGGTCTGGGACTTCCCCATACATGGGACACGTAGATCAACTTTCTCCAAGAACCACCAACCTGGCATGCAGTGATGACCTCTGCAGTAGACAGGGATTTAGGCTTGATTGTTGTTCATCTCTTTGGAGACATAACCCTAATTGTGAACTTCTAAATTAATGGCCTGACAATTAGATCAGCAGCTAAGATAAATTTCAGTTTGCAGCCCCAAAGAAGATGTTCTTAATTAGACAGTTAATCATTTTCAATATGGAAGCCTAAACACGTAGAATGTGGCAATAACCCGGAACTCTCAGTTCTGACAATTGAGTGAAGTAATCACCCCAGATTCAGGTTCCTCATTGGCTGACAATGAGATCAAACACCCACACCAGCCCAGTGAACACCATGAGGTGTCATCTTCCCTGGCCCATTAGTGAACCAGGAACAGATATTTAGAAAATATTCAGTAAATTGGGGAGTCCCACAGAGTCAGAAAGTTTGCTTGAGATAGTAGAGGGTGGCATAAAATTTCTACCGAATATGAATTTTAATTTTTACTTTAGTGCCGTTTCTATTTTAGTCTAATTTCCTTCTAGAATATGTTATTTCTATTTACCAAGTGGCCTCCTGTGGTCTTTTTCATAGAGTTCAAATCGACCCATCTAAAAACAGAAAGATCAAGCTAACGACCTCCCTCAGGGGTCAGAATTCAGTTTCACAGCTCTGTAGCAAGCTCATTGTTGACTTACAAATTAGTGTAACCAATAGTAACGTCATGGTGACCATAACTCCAACATCCCAAAAAGTACCTCAAGTTAGAGGCTGACTTCATTTATCAGAGGATTCAAATGGCAAAATCAAGCTTTACTAGATCACTGGATTACTGGAAGAAGTGAGCAATGCGAATCTGCAATATAGTTTCACTAAACTTTAATAGGACAGCAAGACTGTAGATATTTTAGCCCTCTCAAAATATGAATCTTCTGATCCTTTCATCTAGAATCTCTATGTGTGCCATAAAGTCCTAACTCTGCTTGTGCCTATACTTTCTGTTCATGCAGAGATTAAAAGACAAACAGGTGGGAGCTTAGTGTTTTAGCGTTTTTCCTGAGAATCTGTCTAGCCTAGAGCATCCCCATTTTTTTCTAGATTCCAAGGAGTACTATCACTATCCTAATTCTCAGTGTCTTGTTTCCAAGTATTTCCTCCTACGATTGTCAGCGTGACTACCTTTTTACCCCACTGATAGTGTTTGCTCCAGGTGAACTGGGTAGTTCATTTTTATTTAAATGCTTCCATAAGCGTTAAGCTATTAATTTAAGATTTCTTTGTTTTTTATAAAGTAATTCTGCTGTTTCCCTCAGAGCTCAACTTTCACTAAGTCTCATAAATTTTATTATGTTTTGTCTAAATGTCTATTTATGTTAAAATATTCTCTGACACTATTTGTACATTTTTTATTCATTAATTATTTAAGATTGTGTCATTTAATGCACACATGTTTGCATTTCCCAAATTTCTTGCTTTTTTGGTCTCTAATTTTCTCTTTTGTGATTAGAAAACATTCATTTTATTATTTCAATCTTTCAATTTTATTGATTTTTTTTATGATGCAGCATATTCTCCATTCTAGAGAATGTTCTATGTGCATTTGGGAAGAATATACATTCTGATTTGGGGTGAAGAGTTCTCCATATATCTCTAGTTTTATTTGGTTTATGTTATTCATGTCTTCTATTTCCTTGTTTCTCTTATGTCTAGTTCTTCTACCCAATAGTGTAAGTGGGGAAGTGAAGCTTGCAATTTTTATTGTTGAAACTATTGTTGCAACTATTTCTGCCTTTATTTCTATCAGTTTTGCTTTATGTACTTCTGTGAACTTTTGTTACATTCATATATGTTAATTTATTTTCCTCATGAATTTATCCTTCTAATTATAATCTATCTTCATCTCTAGTAATAGTATTTGTTGTCTTAAAGTATATCCTAATTTTTTTATTTTTGGTTTTTCTGGGTGCATAGTAGGTGTATACCTTTATGAAGTATATAGAATATTTTGATACCGTCATACAATGTGTAATAATTACATCAGAGTCAATGGGGTATTCATCACATGAAGTATTACTATTGGATTTCAAATAACCAAATTATACAATTTCTGTTATTTTAAAATGTACACTTAAATTATTCTTAACTAGAGTCACCTTGTGCTGTCAAATGCTAGAACTGATTCATTCTTTCTAACTATATTTTTATACCCATTAACCATTCCCACCTCCCCGCCCTCAACCTTCTACTACTTCTCTCAGCCTCTGGAGACCATCATTCTACTCTTTATCTCCATTAATTCTTTGGTTTTAATTTTTAGCTTTAACAAATAAGTGAGAACGTGTGAAGTTTGTCTTTCTATACCTGGCTTATTTCACTTAATAAAATGACCTTCAGTTTAACCCATGTTTTTACAAATGACAGAATCTCATTCATTTTTATGTCTGAATAGTACTACATTGTGTATATGTACCACTTTTTTGTTTATTCATCTGTCGATAAACACCTATGTTACTTCCAAATCTTGGCTATTGTGAATAGTGTTGCAGTAAACACAGGAGTACAGCTATCACTTCAATACACAGATTTTTCTCTCTTTTGGATATATACCTAACAGTGAAATTGCTGGATTGTACAGAAGCTCTATTTTTAGTTTTCTGATGAACCTTCAAGCTGTTCTCCATAGTGGTTCCACCAACTTACATTCCCACCAACAGCATATGAGGGTTCCCTTTTCTCCGCATGCTTGTCAGCATTTGTTATTGCCTTTTAGCTAAAACCCACTTTAACTGGGGTGAGGTAATAGCTCATTGTAATTTTGATTTGCATTTCTCTGATGATTCATGATGTTGATCATCTTTTCATATACCTATTTGCCATTTGCGTGTCTTTATTGGAGTAATGTCTGTTTACATATTTTGCCTATTTTTTAAAATAGGATTATTAGATTTTATTTTCTATAGAGTTATTTGAGCGCCTTCTATGTTTTGGTTACAAATCCATTTTCAGATAGGTAGTTTGAAAATATTTTCTTTCATTCTGTGGGTTGTTTTCTGACTTTGTTGATTCTTTTCTGTGCCATGCAAAATTTTATAACTTGGTGTGATACCAATTTTCCATTTTGCTTTGGTTGCCTGTGCTTGTGAGGTGTTACTCAAGAAATCTTTGCTTAATCCAAGGTTTTTTAGAATTTCCCCAATGTTTTCTTTCAGAAGTTTCATAGTTTGCAGTTTTACATTTAAATATTTAATCCATTTTGATTTAGTTTTTGCACATGGCAAAAGATAGAGGTCTAGTTTTATTCCTCTGCATATGGATATCCAGATTTACCATCACTGTTTATTGAAGAGACTGAGTTTTTATTCTTAATATATTTTCTTGGTGCCTATGTAAAAAATGAGTTCACTGTAGATGGATGGTTTGGTTCTGGGTTCTCTATTCTGCTCCATTTTCCTGTGTGTCTGTTTTTATGCCAGTACTATGCTGTTTTGGTTACTACACATCGGTAGTATAATTTTGTGTAATGTAATAATGTATGCTATGTAATGGGATTCCTCCAGTTTTATTCTTTTTGCTCAGGATAGCTTTAGCTATTCTAGGTCTTTTGTGATTATATATAAATTTAAGATTTTTTAGAGCTGTTGTATTTATTTGTGTGAGGAATGTCAATGGTATTTTTACAGAAATTGCGTTGAATCTGTAGCTTGCTTTGTGTAGCATGGACATTTTAATATTGATTCTTCCAATCCATAAACACAGAACACTGACTAATACAATCTGCAAATGGGTAGTTTGACTTCCTCTCCTCTTATTTGAATGCCTTTATTTTTTTCTCTTGTCTGATTGCTCTGGCCAGGATTTTCAATACTATGTTGAACAGGGCTGGTAAGAGAGGGCATCTTTGTCTTGTGCCAGTTTCCAAGAAAAATGCTTCCAGTTTCACCCATTCAGTATAAAGTTGGCTGTGGGTTTGTCATAGATGACTTTTATTATTTCAAAGCATGTTTCCTCAATACCTAGTATATGGAGAGTTTTAACATAAAGTGGTTTTGAATTTTAATGAAAGCTCTTTCTGCATCTATTACAATAATCATGAGGTTTTTGTCTTTCGTTCTGTTTGTATTATGAATCACATTTATTGATTTGCATATGTTGAACCAACCTTGCATCCCAGGGAAAAAGCCTACTTGATTGTGGTGGATAGGCTTTTTGGTGTGCTGCTGGATTTGGTTTGCCAGTATTTTATGGAGAATTTTTGCATCAATATTCATCAAAGATATGAAATTTTTCTTTCTTTTGCTTTTCTTCCAGGTTTTGATATCAGAAGGGTGCTGGCCTCATAGGATGAGTGAGGAAGATGATCCTCCTCAAATTTTTGGGAGTTTCAGTAGGAATGATACCAAATTCTTCTTTGCATATCCAGTAGAATTTGGCTGGGAATTCGTCTTTTCCTGGGCTTTTTAAAATTGATAGTCTATTTATTACAGATTCAATTTTGGAGCATGTTATTGGTCTGTTCAGGGATTCAATTTCTTCCTGGTTCAGTCTTGGAAAGGTGTACATGTCCAGGAATTTATCTATTTGTTCTAGGTGTTGTAGTTTTTTTGCATAAAGGTGTTCATCATATTCTCCGATGTTTATTTCTATTTCTGAGGAGCCAGTGGTAATATCCCCTTTGTTGTTTCTGATTGTCTTTGTTTGGATCTTCTCTCTTTTCCTCTATATTAGTCTAGCTAGTAGTCCACATTTAAAACAAAACCTACTCCTGGATTCATTAATCTTTTAGTTTCTTTGTGTGTGTCCTAATCTCAGTTTATCTCTGATTTTGGTTATTTCTGTCTTCTTCCAGCTTTGGGGTTGGATAGCTCTTCATTCTCTAGATGTTTTAGTTGTGATATTGAGTGGTTAAATTGAGATCTTTGTTACTTTTTGTGGTGGGTGTTCAGCAACATCAGTTTTTTTCTCAACACTGATTTAGTTGCATCTCAGGGATTCTGGTAGGTTGTGTCTTTGTTCTCATTACTTTCAAATAACTTTTTGATTGATGCCTTAATTTCATTATTCACACAAAAGTCATTCAGGAGTGAGTTATTTAATTTTTATGTAATCATATGGTATTGAGTATTGGTTTTCTCAACTTTTACCTCCAATTTTACTGTACTCTGGTCTCGGAGAGTGGTTGTCATAATTTGAATTCTTTTATAATTTCTGAGAACAGTTTTATGTCGATTAAGTGGTTGATTTTAGAGTATGTGCCATGTGGCAATGAGAACGTATATGTTGTTGTTTTTGGTGGAGAGTTCTGAAAGTGTCTGTTACATCCATTTGATCCAGTGCTGCATTCAGATCTTGAATATCTTGTTAATTTTCTGCCTTAATAATCTAATATTGTCAATGGGTTGTTGAAGTTTTTCACTATAATTGTGTAGGAATCTAAGTCTTTTTAAAGACCTCTAAGAACTTGCTTTATGAATTTGGGTGTTCCTGTGTTGGGTGTGTATATATTTAAAATGTATATATTTAAATATGAATACATATATTCTTGTTGAATTTAACCCTTTAGCATTTTGTAATGCCTTTTTGCCTTTTTAAATCTTTGTTGTTTTAAAGTCTGTTTGTCTAAACTTAGGGTTGCAACCCATTCTTTCTGCTGTTTTCCATTTGCTTGGTAGATTTTTATCCCGTCATTTTCAGCCTATGAAACTGATTGCATGTGAAATGAGTCTTGATGACAGCATATCATTGGTTCTTTGTTCTTTATCCAGTTTCCCACTGTTTGCCTTTTAATTGGAACATTCAGCCCATTTACATTCATAGTTAGTGTTGATATGTGTGCATTTGATGCTGCCATTATAATGGTAGCTGCTTATTATGCAGACTTGTTTGTGCGCAACTGGTCTGTATACCTCAGTGTGTTTTTTTAGTGGCTAATAAAGGTTTTTTTCACCTATATTTAGTTCTTCCTTCAGGAGCTCTTGTAAGGCATGTCTTGTAGTAATGAATTTCCTCAGCATTTGCCTGTTTAAAAAGAACTTTATTTCTCCTTTACTTATGAAGCTTAGTTTGGCCAAATACGAGATTGTTGATTGGAATTTATTTTCTTCAAGGAGGTTAAATATTGGTATTGGTCTCTTCTGGCTTGTAGGATTTCTGCTAAAAGGCGTACTTTTACACTGATAATCTTTCCTTTGTGGTTGACCTCCCTTTCCTCTCTAGCTGCATTTGACATTTTTTCTTTTATTTCATGCTTGAACAATCTGATAACTATGTGTTTTGGTGATTATTATATTATGAAGTATCTTACTGGAGTTTTCTGCATTTCCTAAATTTGAATGCTGGCCTCTCTAGCCAGCATTCCCCAGGTTGGGGAAGTTCTCATGAATGATATCCTAAAATATGTTTTTCAAATGGCTTCCATTCTCCCCACCTGTTTCATGAACACCAGTGGGTCATACCTTTGGTCTCTTTACATAATCTTATATTTTTCAGAGGCTTGGGGGTTTTTATTACTCTTTTTTATTTCTGTCTGTATGTCTTACTTCACATAAACAGTCTTCAAACTCTGAGATTCTTCCTTAGCTTTGTCTATTCTACTATTAATAGTTGTGAATTTCTTATAAAAAAATTTAGTGTGATTTTTTTAGCTCTCTCAGGTTAGTTATGCTCTTAATACTGGCTCTTTTGTCTCTCAGCTCCTGTATCATTTCATTATGATTCTTAACGTTTTTGAATTGAGTTTCAAGTTACTTCTGCATTTTAATGATCTTTATTTCTATTCATATTCTGAATTTGATTTCTGTAATTTTAGCTATCTTGGACTGATTTATAACCTTACTGGAGAGGTACTGTGACCATTTGAAGGAAAAGAGGAACTCAGGTTTTTTGAGTTGTCAGAGGTTTTGTGCTTGTTCTTTCTTATCTTTCTGGGGTGATATTTCTTTAATATTTGAAGTTGTCAACTTTTGGATTTTTCCTTTTATTCTGCTTGATGACCTTAAGGGTTTAATTGTGTTATAAGGTTGGCTCAGTCAAGTGGTTTTGTGTGTATTCATGCAGGCGAAGGTGGCTGCTCAGGGCTGAGGAGAGTATGCTGTTTTTTGTGCTTAGTTGTACTCAAATGACAGTGTTGACAAAGGAGCAGGGTGCTGGTGTTGTGGGGCAGATGGCCTCTGTTTCCCCCAAGATTCTGTCTGCAGTGGTGGTATAGCAGGAGAGGGGGCCTGGAGTACACTCCTACCAACAGCAGTGCCAGGGCAGAATGCATATGCACATGTGCACTGACAGGACAGGGAAAGCAAGATCCTTCCATGCACACACACACACACACACACACACACCAGCATAGTGATGTGTGGGGTGGCAATGGGCCTTGGGGGGAAGCTGCAGTGAGGAGAGGCAGCAGGCAGGCTGATGCCTGGATGGGGTCACCCCACTGGAGCTGTCTACTAGTCAGACATGATCTGCCAGTTCAGGATCTATGATGCAGGCCCCCAGGGTACTCAAGGCTGCACTGCAAGCATGCAGGGCCGAATTGGGGTCGCAGGAGAGGCCAGCACACCAACGCAAGCTCAGGTCAAAACAGCCCCATCTGATGGGCCACCACCCTGCAGACTTTTTGTCCAAAATTTCCCCTAGGGCTAACGTCTCTTATGGGAGCAAGTTAAGCTTATTGGTGTGGGCATCCCTGGACATGCTTCACTACACATGTTCCCACAATAAACCCTCTTGGCTGTGCACTGGCTGGTGTGCTGCCCCTGTCACTTCTCTAAGCAGCTCTTCCTTTCAACTCATTTTCCATGATGGTCAGAGGGTCTCTGCCAGTGGGATTCCAGAGGCCAGTCAGGAAAGCAGGTAGCTCCTTGCCACTTAAACTCACCTGTTTTTCTCAGAGTCACTGGGGGCCAGAAATCAGTTCCACTGTGCTTTAGCCCTGTGCAGGGTTCCCAGCTTCTGAATCTTAAGTTCAGATGTTGTGTCTTTCCTCCATCACTATCAGTACCTGCCCTCGGTTAAGAGTGTGCCAGTCATCCTGGTCCCTTGGTGTCAGCTGTTCCACCTTGGTTTGTCTATTCAGCCATCTTGCTCAAATACACAAAGTCTTATAAATCAATAATAAATAGACAATTGACTACTTGAAAAATGTGCAAGGAATTTGAATTAAAAATTTCTACAGATAAGAAGCAAAATTTGTCATTAAATTTAAAATATGTGACATTATTAGTTTAGAGAAATGCAAATCAAAAGCTCAATGACATACTTACTAGAAGACCTGTAAAAGGCAATAAAAAAGGTTGCCAAAGATATCAAAAATATGAAAGCCTCACACATTGTATGTGGGAGTGTAAAAAACAACCGATTTAAAGAACAATTTGGCAATTATTCAAAATGCTATAAATAGTATCACCATATGACTGAGACATTTTACTCTGTTACGTACTCAAAAGAAATGAAAACCTATGACTACACAAAGAATCAGATGTAAATGATCAAAGGAGCAGTATTTGTAATAGCCCAAAGGGGATAAAACCAAAATATCCATCAAATAATAACAGAAAAAATAACGTGTGGTGTGTCCATACAATAAAATACTATGTGCCAAACAAAGAAAATGAAGTAATAATACCTGCTATGTCAGGAAAAAACCTCAAAATCACTAAAGTAAGTAAAATAAACCAAATGCAAAAGGGCAGATAATTTATGATTTCACTTAAAATAACTTTTAATAAAAGGCTTATATATAAAAACAGGCTAATGATTGCCTATGACCAGGGTAATGAAATCAGTAAGTACAAAAGAGATTAATTTCTTTTTCCATAGTGATAAGGTGATTTCAAAATTAGATTGTGGTTATGGGTGTCTGTAAATACACTTTAAGAACTTGGAATTGTACACTTAAAACATGTGATGGTTTTGTTATAAGATTATATCCCTCTAAAATGTTTCCAAATGAAACTGTTGACTTTTGGAGAACTAAGTCACAGACTGTAAAACCAAACCCATTTATTGTTCATCTCAAGGCATGTTAAATAAAGAGGAAAAGACAAAGATATAGTTATAACATTAAAATCTTCATGGCAAATAGTTATAAGAAAAAAATTACAATTGTAAAATGTATTAATAGACATAAATTACCTGCTTAGATTTACCAGGCCAGAAATGTAAATTAAATAATAGTACACTATTGAAGACCACTCTGAGTCACTGATTATTAGAAACTTGTTATGATGTCATCATAAGGTTAAAATATTCCTTATCAAAAATGACTCACAGCAAAAATGTTAAATAAAGTGTGTTAGTGGCACCCCTGTCCACAGTTGCTGGTACTTTTAGTGTATGGCCAATTAGAAAGCTGCTCTTTTGTCCCTCATTTGTAACCAATTTCAACACTCAAATTCAATATTGAACTCCTAAATTTATTGATAAAACATGTGAGAAGATGTTTAAATTATATATTTAAAAGATATTATGAAAATAAAAAATCTTAGCAAACATAGGGAGAATTATAAACTAACATTTATCATACATACCCACCACAAGGCTTCAGCAATTCTCACATTTTTTATCTTTCATTTTTAATTATCAACTTCAATTATTCTGGTAATATTTTCAAGTAAGCATATTATGTTGTCAGTTTGTAGAAATTTGAGTACCTATATCTAAGAAATAAAAAGAAAAATAAAAATAGTACTATAAAATCTAAGTAAATACAAGTATTTTCTAATATTGTACTAAAGAGTTTCTTGATTCTTTACGTGCAAAACAGTAGAACTTAGCAACCTCCAAGACTTTATGAGAAATAACAATTTAAGACTAATATTTATCCTGGAGACTCAAAGTGACTATAAATAAATATATCTTTAGTTAATAAAGCTTAAAAATAAAGTATTAATAAAAACACATTTTGAAGATGGCTGACACCTTTGTTACTAGACATGGGGCTTGTGCTGTAAATAACTAGTTTAAAAGTCCATGGAAAAGGGATTTTCAACCAAAAAGTCTATAGAAAACAAAAAATTTTGGTTTTTCTGAACTCAGGATGTGAGGCCAGCTTTTAAAGCACTGAATTTAAAAAGCCCTCAAGACCCTAAGCTTGATAAGCACGTCACCAGCAGGTCTCATTTTTCAGCTCTGTGCACCAGGTGGCATGTCTAGCAAAATGTCCCCTCTCATGTCAGGTTTTTTCTATGAACTCAGAATGACCACTGTCCCTTAGTATGCAGCCCTGCAGTGGACCCAAAAATGACAATCAATCAGGTCCAGAGTTGCTCATTATGGCCTTTCCAGAATGTAATTATCTAAGGACAATTCTCCCCCTTGTAAAATTAAGAAAGTATCAGAATATTTGCCTAATTTTTGATAACATCATACTGTGAGCCACAAAAAAGCAAGAATTTAAAATGTAAGGGATTATCTGGATCCTAGGGCACAGAAATACACCTCAAATAGAATAGTTTCACACACGATTTTATATGTGGACTTCCTGTGTGGAAGAAAAGAATGTGGGGGTCAATAGTAGAGAAGTCTGTATGTAGTGGAATTTTAAGAAATCAGAGAGGCCGATGGGGTTCAGGAGGGTATTTATTAATTATTTAGGTGCACTGGTCCAGTGGATTAACATCCAAAGAATGAGTCCTGAACAAAGAGTTAAGTTACCTTTTAAGCATTTCATGGGTGGGGAGAGATTTGTGCAGGGAGAATCATACTACAGAAGCAAGAAACAAAGACAGTTATTCAATTGAGACATGCATTACATTATTTCTTACTTTTCAAGGAAAAACCTGTTTTGTGACTTGAATTTATCTGTCTAGTGACCTTGCAGCTTCACAGCTTGGGAAACAGGGTCTTCACAATCCCTGGGAAAGGAGGAGAGATAAGGATCACTAGCCACAGAAAAACAGGCAGTTAGTTTTTAAAGGACTCCAGCTCTTACTCTTTCTCAACAGAAGTTGGGTTTTCTTACACACAAGTGAGTTTCTGCTTACACACTCTTTAATCTCTTATAATTCCTGTTCCATTCTCCCCATTGGTGCTTTTTATAACAGAGGTGTTAATAGAAAGCACCATTATTTGCCAAGTCTTCATGGAGCTGAGCTTTTTCTTCTTCTGGCGGTGGCTGATATCTGGTTAATGCATCAACTGTACAGACTGTACAGTAGTGTTTTGGGCTACCATTGCCTCCATAGTTGACTGAATACTCCTAATAAACAGAGACAAAAGGCAAGGGAGGATAAGGCAGATGCAAAGAATAAGCAAGAACCTACTAATGAGGGTTTAGAATTTTTCAAATGCTGAGAACCATCCTCCAAACAAGGAATCCGGGGACTACCTGGATCAAGTCTGAAGTGGAACCTGGGCCAACTTGTGCATTCTAGCTGTAATTTTTATGACCACTAATATTGATTTCTTGGCTATTGATTTCTAGGCAACAGTTGGTTAAATTAAATTTTCTACATATTCCTCCTTCGGAGGATAAGAGATAATTTAAAGCCAGCCTATTTTGATATATAGCATTTCCTTTTTGTGTTGCTTGTATTGCCAATAAATCTAGTGCCCTCGATATTTCATTGGTTATGATTTGAAGGACTGCCTGCAACTTCATGATGCGGCTGAGGATATAGATTATGGTGCAGTACCCTCATGACCTGTCTTGCACCTAGGTAGCTGGCCCATAGCATGTCATGATTCTTTCAGGAGGTCATTTATTATCTTTTTAGTCTCCTGTGTCCACATCTTTTTTGATATTTTTGTTACTTTTGTGATTATGCTTTTTCTAGTTCTTCTTTTATTTTTATTATAAACTGGATATTCTAAGAATTTCCCTTGCTTTAGAGGAATTAGAAAGAAGGATGGCTTGATTGCTTTTAACAGACATGTCCCTGCCCATTTTGCTGGCAGTTGCCAATATGCCCATGCTCCACAGATCCAATATAGGCCAGAGGGTGCCTTTCAAGCATTTGAATCATCTACCTGATGCCAAGTGCAGCTTAGAGTAAGGAATCCAGAGAAAGTGTTTGGATCTGGTAAGTAGGAGTCATTCTGGGCATTTCTTCATAGAGTTTTGTTTTTAGTCTCGTAATAATACTGTTGCCCTAGGAAGGTTGTTTTTCCTACTGCGTCTGTGAAAGCCTTTCCCCATCGAGTGATACAGTACTTTCCAGTTATGGAGATTTTTAACAATCAAACACTGGCTGAGGCTGTTGGTTCACTGGCAGGGTTAAGCAAAGTGAAGTTATCTTGTGGCATTAATTCCTTTGCCTCCCATTGCCACTCATTCTCCATATTAGTTTCTCTACATACATAGCATGAAGAAATTTTTAAGCTGCCATCTGTGTTTTCAGCTAGTTGAGCAAATAAGTTTTTGGTTGATGGGGGAACCTCGGGCACTGGCTGATCAAAATGCTTACAGAATGACTTGGTATTGAGGGGTTGGATGCATTTGAGTCCTTATAGTATTTTTGACAATTAGTAGTGGAACTCCAAGACCTGCTCCTTGTCTATCAACTGGTAATAGTGCTGTCTGTCCTGTAGACCAAAAAGGTAGCTCTGGCTTTAAGATAGTAAAATTTAAAGGATCGCATGTCCTTGTCTTACAATCTGGTTTTTAGGATTATGAACATACGTGGCATGGCAGTCATCAAAGAAGAAATAGGCCCTTTTTAGAAGGGTGGGATTTCTTTGGTTTGAGCTATAAGCTTTCCTTCTGTTTCTCCCTCTGATATAATATTTACCTCAAAATAGAATTAATAGGGTAAGAGCCCAGGCTCATAACATACATATAGCTGATTATTTCCTCAGTCACAGACTGAATAGGTGGTCTGGTTGTATATGCATATTCCTAATTTGCTTCCTGTACATTCATAGTAGGTATGGTACAGTAGAGTTTTAACTGTGGTATTTTTTATCCAGGTAATGTGTACACAGCATGGACATCCTTCAAGAGATTTATCCCCTTTCAGTATAAGCATAAATGGTAACAACATTGTTGTATGTAATAGAAACATGCTTACACTACACATGGGCACAAAAACTTTCCTCTGGGCATAGACATTTGCAGCATTTGCAGTAATAACATAACAACGGAACAATCAGTATTGACAGAATTGTAACTATGGTTATAAATTGTATTCACATTTACTTATCTGGACATGGTCCTCTTAGCTTCGGCTGTGTGTACACTAGTCAGCTTCCGGGATGTGACTAGAGCAGAGTTTGAAGAATCCTTAAGCTTCAGCCATGCTTAGACTGACCAGCCTCCAGTGTGGTCAGAGCAGGGCGGTTGTCCTTTTTACCGGTGGCTGAGATTTGCCATAGGGCTATTCGAGTGGGGCAATCTGGGTCTTGTTGGCTAATCCACAGGTTGTCATCACGACTCGCTACTGTCACTGGTTTTAGATGGCTATGGTGAATCCAAGGTGTGGCACCTGCAACTTTAACAGCAGTGGGAGTAGACATGATTACAATATGGCGCCTATCGTATATGGGTCCTAGAGTGGTTGAATTCCATTTTTTACCTAAACGAAGTCCCTAGGTTTGAAAGGGTGTACTGGGTCTGTTAGACTTATAGGCATTTTTTTACATACTTAACCATGCATTTTAGTATAGCCATACTTAAAGCCTGCATTTGCCTTCTTAAAGTTAGTTTTCCCAATTTACAGAGATTACCCTGAATCTGATTTTTCTGGGGGGTGGGCAGCTGAACAAAATCTCAGAGGGCGAATACTCAGTTTTTTGGTGGGGGTGCACCTGACTCATAAGAGGACCATGGGCAAGACCTGATATTACTTCAGATGAGTTTTTCGACAAAATTTCTTCAACAGCTGCTTGAGTGTCCAGTTTATGCTCTCCACTTTACCTGAGATCTGCTACCTGTAGGCTGTATGTTATTTCCATTTTATTTTTAATAGTCGAGTTAAGTCCTGAACTATTTTAGCCACAAATGTTGGTCCATTCTCTGATCTTAGAGTTAGAGGCAGCCCAAATCTGGGAACAATGTCTCTTAACGCCTTGGTCACGTCTAGTGCCCTCTCTGTCCTGGTGGGAAAGGCCTTGAGCTATCCTGAAAAGGTGCAAATGAACACCAATATGTACTGATAGCCCCCGTCTCAGGGTCATTCAGTGAAGTCCATTAGCAGTTTTTCACAGGGCATGGCTCCTTTTTCCTGAACTCCCATGGGCCGAGTAGGATCTTGTCGTGGATTGTTCCGAGTGTAAGTTAAACACAGTTTACAAATGGCCCGAGTAATAGCAATGAGCCATGGCAGATAAAAATGATGCCTTAATAATGTCTTTATTTTTTTTTTAATCTGAGTTCGGTGGTGGAATTGTTTTACAAATCTGGGGGTCACCATTTCAGGTATGGCTAGCCTCCCATTGAAGAATTTGTATTATCCTCTTTCAATGTAGTTCTTATTTTCCTGGGGAAGCCAAGCTCTGTTATTTGGAGTGAAGATTGGGATCTCCAGGAGGGGAATCTCCGGGAGGAGAGGCATAGCTAAGGCATCTTCTTTAGGTGGAGTTGTCATTGCAGCCTTCTTTGCCTCTTTGCCTTCGTATCTTTTTTAGCCCTTAGTGTTCTTGCTTTTTGCTGCCTCTTGCAGGACTTCACTACCGTCACTTTTGGGGCCCATACAGCGTTTAAGAGCTGTAGGATTTCTTCCTTGTACTTTATTTCTTTGTTTCCGCAGTTAAAAGTCTTCTTTTTTTCTTTGTAAATAACCTTATGAACATGCAAAGTGGCAGAAGCATATTTGGAACCTGTATAAATATTGGTCTTTTGGTCTTTTGCTAGCCAGAGAACTCTTGTCAGAGCTCTTAGTTCTGCTTTCTAATCAGAAGTTTCTGTAGATGAAGACTGCACCTCTACTGTTGAGTCTAAAGTCACCACTGCATACACAGCTTGGCGGGCTCCTTTTAGTATGAAACTGCTTCCATCAGTAGAATATTCAATGTTTGGGTCCCTGAGGGACTGATCTGTCAAATCTCTCTGGCTTGAGAACACTTCATCTACCACGTCCACACCACAATGAAACGGTCCTCCTGGCACTGACTCGATGAGAGTAAGGTAGCCGGATTTAGGGTATTCACAGTCTCTAAAGTTAGTTTACTAGCTTCCTGCACCAGTACGGCAGTGGCTGCTAGTGCTTTAAGACAAGGAGGCCATCCAAGTGCAACAGAATCTAATTGCCTGGATAAATATGCCACCAGGCGATGCCATGACCTTATGGCTTGAGTCAGAACCCCTATGGCCTCCCTTTCACTTGTGGACATACAAGAAGAAAAGCTTGATTAGTTAGATCTGGCAGTCCTAAAGCTGGGGCCTGAGTCAAGGCTTCTTTGATTTCTTTAAAATCCTTCTCCTCTTTGGCCTCCTAGAGGAGGGGCTCCTTTTTTCCTCCTCTTAGTGGCTTGGTATGATGGCTTGACCATGAGCAAGAAATTTGGGTTGTAAACGCGGCAGAACCTTGCTGCTCTTAGAAACTCTCTTACTTGACACCGGGTGGTTGGAGTAGAAAGTGCACAAACAGCCTGCTTTTTTTCAGGACTAAGCCATCTTTCCTCTTGGCTTATATAAAAGCTTAAATATTGACACTTTTAGAGGAGATTTGAGCTTTTTTCTGACACTTTTTATTCTGCCTTCTACAGCAGGTGCAGTGGTTCTTGGGTTTCTTCTGCGTGTAGTAGCCCTTGGCTGGTGTGTGTGTGTGATTTTTTGGTTCTGTTTTTTTGGGTTTTTTTGGTTTGTTTTTTGTTTCTTTTACTATTGCCCTGATCATTTTCATTATTTCTTTGACATTTATGCTTCCAGTGTCTTTCCTTTTGCACCATGCACATTAATCTCTCTCTAGCCTCGGCTGGCCTTCACACTCCTGTCCAGACTAGCCTTTTTCATGACTACGTTCACGCCCGCGTCCATGCCTCCTTGTAAAGCCAGCTCCTCTTCCCGGAAGGGCTGCTGCTAGTAAGTTAGCCTTTCTTAAGCCTGTGATCAGCCTTTTCCTTTGCCTCCTCATCTCGGTTAATTAACACCTTGGTTGTCACTTTAATAAGCTGAGTAGCATTCTCGCCTACGGAGCTTGTAACTTCTGCAATTTATGCCTGATATCTCCTTGGGTCTGCCTTACAAGTGCTGGATTCACCCTGCACTGATTTTTGAGTAGCCTCAGGGTTAAACGGAGTGTACAATAAAAATGCCTCACAAAGTCTTTCATAGAACTTGCTGTGCTTTTATCTGCACCCTGAAGCATGTCTGAGATTTTTAAAAATATTGATTGCCTTTTTCTTTTACCATCCTTTAGCCTTTGCAGATGGGCTTCTCGGCACCTTTGTAGGTGCTGAATCTGGACTGCATCATCTGGGTCCTAGTGGGGGTCCTCCTGTCCTCTTAAGAGGCATGAGCATATCTTATGCACGACCAGACCTGAGACGGCCTGCCTGATTTTCGCTCTCATTTCACCTTCTCGGGTGAGACTGGCAGCATGTATCCATTTGAACTTAACTCCTTAGGGACAGTTACCTTGGTAAAGGGGGTAGATTGGAATGTAAGGAG
This sequence comes from Homo sapiens, assembly GCF_000001405.40. Classification (NCBI taxonomy): domain Eukaryota; kingdom Metazoa; phylum Chordata; class Mammalia; order Primates; family Hominidae; genus Homo; species Homo sapiens. Next base: position 5,875,774 of record NC_000021.9, read on the forward strand.
GAGCGGTCTCTATTCTTTTCTGTGGTTGTTACAAAACCGGTTTTTCTGCCTTTTCTGAGATTTTTTCATTTGTCTTCAGCTGCTGGGGCAGCTGATTTTACTTTCACTTTTGGCTGGGAGGTGCTACAAGCCTCTGTGTCTCCTTTTAACTCTGTAGCTGCCAGAGCAGCTGATTTTCTCTTGCCGTGAGCTGCGAGCATTCTACAGTAAACTGCTAGGCAGGGCTGCATTCATTTAGCCATGAGTCAATATAAAGACTAGGTCTGAATGTCCTGGCTGTTCTCTGACCCTAGTCACCACCTTAAAACACACGGCCAATTTTTCTATAGTGCCTTTGGCAAGCCATCTGACACTAAAACAGGGCTATTCTAATTCACAGTATGTCCTTAACTTTTGAACACTCAGTTTCATCCTATAATCACTTCTAACTCTTTTTTTAAAATTCTTTATTATGCTTTTCAAAGGAGCCACTTTTGATGTTTTCACTCTCATTTCCTCTCTTGCAGTTCACTTTCACTCTGACTTTCACTCTTGAGTCCACCAGACCTGGTCCTATTGCGGGAGTTTCAGATGCTGCTTAGCCAGGACCATGCCTTCCCCTGTCGCAGACTGCTGCAGCTGTAAAGCTGGTACTATCAGCCATATGAAGCATCTTAGGTCTGATTTTCCCCACATTCGCCTCAGAGCACACAGCCACCACTAAGGGATCTGTGCCTCCCCATGTCGCTGCCCACATTGGCCTCTCCCAATGTAACAGGAAGAGCTGCAGACAAAACCCCTTGGACACTGAGTTAAAGAAAGAAGGTGTTTATTCACCTGGGAGCTTCAGCAAGACTTCTTTCCCAAGAGCTGAACCGTCCGAGTGAGCAATTCCTGTCCCTTTTAAGGGCTCACAACTCTAAGGGGGTCCGCATGAGAGGGTCACGATCTATTGAGCAAGCAGTGGGTATGTGACTGGGGGATGCATACACTGGTAATTAGAAAGGTACTGAACAGGACAGGGATCTTCACAGTGCATTTTTTATGCAAATAACCGATTAGGTCAGGGGTTGACCTTTAACTACCAGGCCCAGGGTGTGGCGCTGGGCTGTCTGCTTGTGGATTTCATTTCTGCCTTCTAGTTTTTACTTCTTCTTTCTTTGGAGGCAGAAATTGGGTATAAGACAATATGAGGGTTGGTCTCCTCCCTTATTTTCCCCCTTTGAGACTCTCACTCATTTTATTAGTGGGAGTTCTCACCTTCTTCCTCACTACCTATGTCTTCCTCTATCACAGATTGATAGTGATTCATGTAGTACACTCGTGCTGAAGCGTTCTGGTGAACTAGAGTTGCCATGAAAACTTTTACCACTTGAATGAGTACAGCTAGTAAGCAAGAGATCAGTAAGCAGGTTCCTATTACTACTATAGTTTCCATTATAAGAGTTTTAAATCCTTCTAGTGCCGGGAACCATTTTCAAACATGGCCTCAGTGTCAAATCGGTGCCACACCTGTACTGGCACATGTGCCAGTTTCATCATGTCTTTAACTATATCTTCGACTACTTGCCCCTGATCATCTATGTGCAGACAGCAAGTGGGCCTAATTACAGTCATTAAATTGGGCCTAATTACAGTCACAATCAATTTACTAAAATAACCAGACAGCAAGACAGGTTTCCAAACATTGGCAAATGTTTCAGGGAGAAAAAAATGCCCCACTAGAGAAGCATGGTTGTATCTCTGTGTGTACATACACACGGGGCCAGGCAGTTCTATGCATGATAGTCTGGGACTGTAAAAGTGACTATGCAAACCTTTACATTCTGTCACAGAACTTACAATTTAAAGTGAGCATCTTTTTCTGTGACTTAGAAATTGACTTTTTTTTTTTAGTTGGGAGCCACTTTTAGCAATTTTCCCTTTGTTGATACATAATAATAGTATATATTTGTGGTGCATGAGTGATATTTTGATACATGCATGCAATGTACAGTGATCAAATCAGGGTAATTAGAATATCCATCACCTCAAACATGGATATTATTTTCTTTGTGTTTGAAAAATTTCCTTTGTGTTGGGAGAATTTAAAGCCATCTCTTCTATCTATTTTAAAATATACTAAAAATTAGTGCTAACTGTAGTTATCCTACTGTGCTGTCAGACACTAGAAATTATTCCTCCTATGATAAAAAGTTTAGGCTGTATCCCATGGGTAGTAGGACACCACATGACTGAGTGGTCATCTGGGAAATTATCTGGATGACTTTGGAACATTCCTGGTTGAGCCAGGTGGCTGTTGCAACAAACTGTGGGGAAGCCCCTCCCCTAATGCCCCCTAAGCCAGCTGTCACTACATGGCAGGAAACCTCCAAACCTGAGGGCCCCAGGAAACAATGACAGTCCCCACTCACATGCAACTTGTGCTGTGCTCAGTGCCCTCCACATTGAGCCTGATCTAGCTTTACCCGAGGGCTGTGAGGTGGGACAATCAGTATCCCTTTATTTTAAAAGGCTCAGTGAAGTTTTGGGCTTAATGTGAGTGAAGTGATCCTAAAAGCTGACTCTGGGATCCCGGCTCCACCACTGACCAGTCCTGCAGGTGGCGAGAGTTGCCTCTCCTCCCCTCGATTTCATTTTGTCCTCTGTGAAGTGCAGCCGTGCTGATGACTCACATATCAGGGATACATGGGAACTGTCAATGAACGGAGTGCTCTACACAGTGCCTGGAGCTCAGAATGCAGATGAGGGAGGAGGGTGAGCCATAATTCTGAGGGAAGTCCCAACATAATTTAGCCCTTCCATCTAGTAGCCGGGCCCCAGTACAGAGTCCTATGTCAGTGACAGGGCAAACTGAGACCAGCTCAAACACAGCCTCTTCCTCAGCAGCAGGGCCCAACTAAGGCACTTGGTGTTTTGGTTCATTTCCTGCAGCTTCAATGTAAAGAATATTGTGAGACATTTGCTGGAACAACTGAAAATCAGAAGAAGAAGAGACAGCTCTTCTCCATCTCCCTGAGAGCTCTTCCCCAGAATGTGTTTATCCAGAGAGGAGGGGAAATATTTATTTTTCGTAAATAGTAAATGCTAGAGTCGAATATTATATGAAAATCTCATTCTACTACAAAATCGGAGTTGTGGTTGTGGTTCTTTTTATTTCACTTGTGTAAGCTTAAATGAGATACAGACTCTAACATTTCTCCTTGAATTATGAAATCCTAAAGAGTCGGCAGCATAATGTATGAGGAAGAAGAGAAAAGCAGTCATAGTTTCTGGCTGCCGGATAAGACACCCAGGTCCATTTTTCTCAGAGCATATGTTCATTTTAATATTAACCCAAGGAAAGAGTGAAGATAGATCATTCGAACTTGCAGAATTAATAATTTGAAGGTATTTTCACAAAGCATAGCGACAGTCTTGGAAATATAGATTTCTTTAAAAAGCAGTTGCAGAGATCAGGAGGATGAATACCTTTCTATGATTTTACAAAAAATAAATCAACTTCTGCTTCACTTGCTGAGGTTTCCTCTAAGCAACTATTAGGACATTGTTGTTTTTTCTTCCAACTCTGGAGTTGCATCAGGTCTATGTGGAAAAAAACATTATAAAATAAAATGACCAAAGTCAAAAGGAGAAGGCCAGGGAAAGTCTATTGACAATGGATGCAGGGCAGAAAGGAAGCTGCATTCTCAATCTTCTTCTGGTGTCCTGTGATTGAGCCTTTACCTTAGATGTAAATCCTCCCAGAGTTTTGTCTCTTACCTTAGAATTTCTATTCTTTTTTTAAGTTAGTTTCTTATCTAGAATGAAAGAATTGTAATGCCACTTTATGGCTACACCTGGGCCTTATTCTGTAAATATTTTTACTACCTATGAGGTAAAATTCCCAGCATTAGGGCAATTCTTTATCCAATTTTTTCTTTCTGAGACAGAGTCTTGCTGTGTCACCCAGGCTGGAGTACATTGGTAAAATCTTGGCTCACTGCGATCTCCACCTCCTGGGTTCAAGAGATTCTGCTGCCTCAGGCTTCTGTGTAGCTGAGATTACAGGCACCCAGCTTCATGTCCAGCTAATTTTTGTACGTTTAGTATGTTTAGCAAATTTTGTATTTTTAGTTTCACTATGTTTGTCAGGCTGGTCTTGAACTCCTGACCTCCAATAATCTGCCCGCCTTGGCCTTCCAAAGTGCTGGAATTACAGGTGTGAACCAATTCTTTTTGAGGAATAAATTACCTAAAGGTCCTCAAGCCTTTCTGTCAGGCATATCTTGGCCTTTTCTCTCTGACTGGGGTCCGATGAATCACAGGTGGGCACTATTTTTCTATATTCCCAACCAGTGATAATCCTTGCGCTCTTTATTTCTAATTAAAAGAAATCCAAAATGGAGATAGTTATTTGAGAGGTCTCTAAAGACAACTAGGAGGACATGAGGAGTTGAATTAATACTCATACACACCCAGGTGGAATTTTACCTGTTCGAACTGGGAAAATTACAGATGTCCTAAAAAGGCAACTGCATTTGACTTGGATTGTTTATACTGAGCCTGATCACAAACCTCCTGGAGAGAAAGCTGTGCTGAATTAAGCTGATGATTGCCTAGATACAGTCTAAGCTGGCAATCAAACATTGTCCATCATAGACTGTGCTAAAATCTTTCACTTGTGTAAACTTGCAGTAAAACTTTATAAGTCCCTCCCTAACCTCATCTGAATGGAACATGATATAGCTTCTTGCTAAATTTGTGTCTCCCAAATAGCAATTTATAAAAAATCATGATTAAAATGCCTTTTATTTTATTTTCCACAGGGTCTGTTTTACTCCCATGTTATAAAATGCTTTTCTCAAGAAAGCATAGAGCCCATTCTCTTCTCTAGAGAGAATCGCAGCCTTGCAAAAGAGACAACTAAAAATACATACATATAAGTATCAAGAATTTAAAACTCAAAATATTAAATATGTTACAAAAGTATATAAGCAATAGAATAAATAGGATGAATAGCAAAATGGATAAAATCAACTGTGAGTTGAAAGCCTGAAAGTTCAGGTGAAGGTGTTGAAAATGCTTCAGAAAAAACTAAAGAGATAAATATTTATAAAAATAAAGAGCTGGGCTCAGTGGCTCACACTTGAAATTTCAGCTGCTAGGGATGCTGAGGCCAGAGGATCAATTAAGGCCAGAAGTTTGAGACAAGCCTAAGCAAGACCTTGTCACTGAAAATGTTTTAAAAATTATTTTGACATTATAGCATGTAACTGTGGTCTCAACTACTTAGAAGGCTGAGGCAGGAGGATTACTTGAACTCAGGAAGTTGAGGTTACAGTGAACTATAATCATGCTACCGTACTCCAGCCTGGAGTGAGGCAAAATCTAGTCACATTAAAATAAAATAAAACAAAATAAAATAAAATAAAATAAAATAAAATAAAATAAAATATAATCTAGTCACGTTAAAATAAAGTACAATTATCAAGGACAAAAATAAAATTGTACAACTTGGCAATAGAAAAAAAATAGAGCATAGAGCAACTGGGGGAAAGGGGGTTGAAAGTATAATTTCCTTTTTATTTCCTTAGTTGGTCATTACTTAGACTTTTTCACTTAATTAAAATTTTCTTATACTTTGGTGCCCAGTTAACCCCAGAGCATTTTTAATTAATTGGTTTAGAGGTAGATACTCATATAAGCTTTCCACTGCAAATTACAAGAGCCAAATTTTAAATAAATGTTGGACCTCTAAATTTTCTATTTGCAATATTTAAGGAAATAAAAATTATAAAAAACACTTTGTAAAACATTTAGTATGTAACTGCTGTTTCTAATGTATAATAAATCCAATTATGGCAGAGACTCACTCTGTTGTTGAGAATCTCTCCATTATATGACTGCTGCTTGTGGTGCTTAAACCTCAGGAAGAAAGAATATATGAATGTCTGAACATTGCTTTAAAAAGACAATGTACATTTAATGTAGAGATATGTGACCAGCTTAGAAAGCTGCACTTTTTCCACAGCAGGCAAACCAGAGCCTGGATACCCCAGGGTCACAGCTCATGAGAACATAGGGCTGGACTGTGAGAAAACAAGAAGCAATTCGTGCAGAGGAGTTGACAAGACACCAACTGGGCTGAGAAAAAAGAGCTGATAGATTAATTTCCAAATTATACTACAAAACATACAATAAGCAGACCCCATAGCTTTATACATTAAAACCAAATGATGACAAAGAGTGAGGATTGCATTAAATTAAATTAGGAGCAACTAAAGACTGGTTTATGATCTTGAAACTTTAGTCACTCTCCATAGTTCCATCCCATGACCCGGTAATTATTTCCTGCTTTCTGCATGCCTTGGACACTGGTCCATTTCTGGCCCCAAAGTGTTCCTTTTTCTAATAAGAGTACTTACTTCATCTCTTAATACAATTCCTTTCCTTGCATACTGTGCCCCAAAGAAGAAATATTAAAAACTTTCCTGATGTTTTTCTGCTGCGGGGTTAATGGGCTCAGAGTGATGATAAGAACGGCCAATGAGTGTGTGGAGCCAGATAGTGCTTAAAATATGGACTTCAGTCCAGTGAAGTCTAACAAGATTGGCACCTGAGCACTCTTCTCTGAGACCTGAGGATGGACTCACTGAACCTGGAGCTACTAACGCAGCTGATACCCACATATATACACCACCTGTGTTCCTAGAAACTGGCCTTCCCAGCCCATCACAGCAAACACCAACACCAGCATGGAACGCTTGGGAGTCAGAGGTTTTTCTTGTCGTTGCTACTGCCATCATCCATGCCATAACCACTGTCCAGGGGCTCAAGAAGCTGCCCACCCACCTTGCTCACTGCTGACACCTGAGCAAATCACATGAAGGCCAAATAATTAGTCTTCCTGGACCTGTTAACACTGCTGCCAGCATAACTGCCTTGAGACCCAAAAGCAGGCATGGTAAGCTCACCACTGCCACCACTGGGATCCAATGACTAAACCTCTGGTGCCCCTATTCCCAGCAAAACTTTACCACAGCCTCTGCTAAAAACGATACCCTAAGCCACTGAGAAAGGTACAGACACCACTGATACTCTTTACAGCCAAAGAAATCATATAAAGACAGGCCGGGTATTGTGGCTCATGCCTGTAATTCCAGCACTTTGGGAGGCCAAGGCCAGTGGCTCGCTTGAGGCTAAGAGTATGATACCAACCTGGGGAACATGTCAAAACCCTGACTCTACTAAAAACACACAAATTTGCTGGGCATAGTGGTAGGCACCTGTAATCCCAGCTACTTGGGAGACTGAGGCACGAGAATCGCCTGAACTCAGAGGTGGAGCCTACAGTGAGCCGAGATAGTGCCACTACACTCCATCCTGGGCAACAGAGCAAGGTTCTATCTTAAAATATATACACATACAGAGTTTAAAGTCTGTGCTCTCCTCTCCTCAGCTGCCTTGTGACTGTGTAAGTGTATGTTTGGGAAGGGAGGGATAGGATGAGGACAGGCCAGCAGAGAGTCACCAGCACTGGCTAAAGGTCTCAGACCAAATTTTATACTCTTGACCAGGAGAAACTTCTCTGTTATTCTAATCACATTAAACTCAAGCATTTTCTTTTTTTCTTTCTTTTTTTTGAGAAATCACATCGAACTTCCAAAATTATAAAGTTGAAAATATGTAATAATTGACAATTGGAAACAAGAAAGAGGATTAGCTATAAAAATAACTCAGGACAATGTATTTATCATGAAAAGATGGTCTTGGTGGAAGAAAGTTTCATGCCCAGCCAGCCCATTCTTCAATATCTGCTAAAAAAAAAAAGAGCAAAGGGAACTTAAAGACATCATAGACTTGGAAATTTCGTCTCACAGTGCATTAAATTCCCAAATCACATGTGGAAGAGAAGAAGCTGCTGCATATTAGACTAACTAGTTTTACTGAATGTTGTCTGTTGATTTAAAAATTAATACTCTTATCAAGAGCAAATTGAAATACTGAAAGTTATTTACTAAACAGCAAAGAATATTTTCAGTATATAAAAAGATTTAAAAAAACGTTGACACCTTAACTAAATCTGACACAAATTTAAAAGGAAAAGTAACTAGAAAATGAAAGAAGCGTTGTACAAGTATGCGATGCACCCTCTGTTGCACCAACTGCTCCTGTTTGTTGAGTCCCCTCTTCTATTCTGCCTCCTCCATCTCCTTGCTGATTCCCCTTTTTGTCTATTTTAATTTCTCTCTCTATTCCTTTCTCAGGTCACCATGTCACATTCCTTTTGTGTCTTTTGATGTCCAATCTCACCGACACCACCTTCATTCTCTATTTTATCTTTACAAATGGTTAATTAGGCATAAAGAGGGAAAACACTCCTGGGAAGATACCTGAATCCTGGTGCACACTATCATTATCACTGTTTTTCATGTTGATGCTCATGTGTCTCTGCTTTCTCGACAGACTATTTAATCAGCAGACAGATCAACAGGCCAAAATTTCCACCATAGTTGCAAATTTGAATGCGGATGAATGGATTAAAACACATTCAAGTCTTGCAATGAACGGCATAATGTATGGTGGTATAATTCAGAGTGGTTACAGGGGAGAGTTAAAGATCATTGTATACAATATCACTCGAGAATCTTTTGCTGTAAAACTGCAGATGTGGGTTCCTCAATTTTTAGTGGTACCTTGTCAACAATTAACCCCTGAGGATGTCTCTGCCCCAACAGAGGCTACATACAGAACTGGGAGATTCAGACGCACTGGTACACGTAGCTTAAATCCTGGAGCCAAAATATGAGTACAGCGTCCATCACATCCTACTCCTATGGCTGGTGAACTTGTAGCTATGGGAGAAGAAACTGAAGGCATAGTACAGTTTCCTAAAGATGAAAAACAATATTATGTTCCCCTCTGTTTTGGTTATTACAGAGAATAACCTGTTTACTAATGGTCAGTACCTGTGTCTCTGTGTCTGATGCCAAGAATAAATTCATCATCTGCATAGCCACCACTGCAACAGAAGCCAACTGCAGTCAATGTTGGCTATGCGTGGAATTGCCAGAGGCCACCAAAAATGGGCTACGTTGGAGAATCGTCCCTGTACCTTACTGCATACCGAATGTTGTGTGTATATCCCTGACAATTCTCACACTACGACTCTCCTTGCACAGCCATGGTGGGTGTGGTTTTCATTAACTGTGCTTTTAATTCTCCTGTGCTTACACTGAATCTGTAATCTGTATAAAGTATGCTTTCCCCAAGTATCTGTAAGGGTATTTTCCTACAATTGAGTATCAAATTGAAGCCAAATTTGGAAGAAAAGTTAAATACTCAATTTTATCTCAATTGAACATGGACACAAACAATGGTCACCAAGTCCCGGAACAGGTTCTGTGAGTTTCTTCAGGCGTTCATCCACCAGTGTCTCAGAGAAATTTCTATTTTAATCTGTTCCTGTATGTTAGTTATTGAAAAACAACAGACAATCGCCAAAAATTTGACATTTTTGTGGTTTTTGAGCCCAGTAGTGAAGAGTCCTCGTTACCCGGCCTTATGCCAAAGAACTCCTTACAAAAAGAGCTAGGGTCCCAGATGGCACTAGAGCTTCCTGAGACCTCTCCCCATCTCTGCAGGGATGAGGGGCCAACTCTGTAGCCCAGGCTGTTGCTTCCCGGTCTGTTGATGAATCCTCCATAGTCTGGTGAGTGTAGTGTCTGACTCTGGAGCCCAGGCTATTGCTTCTCTGTCTGGTGATGCTTCCTCCATACTCTGTAGTCTGCTGTGTGTAAACATATGTATATATATATATATATACATATATATGTATATAATTTATACATATAACTGTAAATAAAAATAATTATATAATTATGTACATAATTATTTAAATAAATAAATGTAAATAAATACATATATAATTATATATATATAATATATATATTTATATATATAAAAAATATATATATTTTTTCCCTTCTCATATCAATTTGCTTATCATATCATTTACTTATTATATCTGTATTGCCATATAATTGAGACAAAAGATGTTTACCCTTAAAAGTATTGTGTGTGCCTTTTCTTCTTCCTCATGGATCTCCCATGCAGAACACATGCCTGACAAATTTTTATATTTTTAGTGGAGACTGGGTTTAGCCATGTTGGCCAGGCTGATCTCAAACTCCTGACCTCAGGTGATCCTTCCATCTCGGCATCCCAAAGTGCTGAGATTATAGGCATGAAACACCCAGCCAGGAGGAGGCATTTCTACAAAGAAAACATACAAATGGCAAACAGACATATAAATGTTGCTAAACATCATTAAACCTCAGAGAAATGCAAATCAGAACTACAATAAGACATTATCTCACTCCAGTTAAAATGTCTTATATCCCAAAGACAGACAATAACAAGTGCTGACGAGGATGTGGAGAAAACTTTAGTGCACTCTTGGTGGGAATGTAAATTAGTATAACCACTATAAAAAAGTGTGGAGGTTCCTCAAAAAGCTAAAAATTGAGCTGCCACAGCTACAATGCAACCCAACAATCCCAGTGATGGGCATTGACACAAAAGAAAGAAAATCGGCTTGTTGCTGCACTGTTTACAATAGCTAAGATTTGAAAGCAAACTGTCTACAAATGAATGAATGTATAAAAAAAGTAGTACATATATACATTGGAGTAGTATTCAGCCATAAAAATGAGATTTTGTCTTTTACGACAACGTGGATAAAAGAGAAGAGTATGTTAAGTGAAATAAGCCAGGCACAGAAAGATAAACACTGTGCGTTCTCACTTATTCGTGGGATGGAAGAATTAATACAACTGAATTCACGGACATAGAGAGCAGAAGGATGGTTTTCAGAAGCTAAGAAAGACAGTGGAGGCTGGGGGAAAGGTGGGGACTGTTAATGTGTACAAAAAAATAGAATAAATAAGACATATTATTTGATAGCACAACGAGATGACTCTGGTCAATAATAATGTAATTGTACATTTTAAACTAGCTAAGAAGGAATAATCAGATTTTAACCCAAAGAATAAATGCTTGAGTGGGTGGGTATCCCATTCTCTATGATGTGATTATTATGCATTGCGAGACCGCATCAAAACATCTCATGAACCCCATAAGTATATACACCTACAATGCATCCTCAAAAATTACAAATTAACTGAAGTAAATAAAATAAAACTATTTAAAAATAAAATATCATAACATTAACTAGCCCCAGAAATATAAGATTTTAATGAAATAAAAATGCCTCTATAATAATCAAACAGTGAGAAGAAAGTCACACTTTACTCCTATTTTTGTTTCTGATCTATCTTCTATCTAGTTTCAAGTTGTAGAATTTTCTTTTTTCATTTCTAATTAAATTTTATTTTATTTTATTTTTTTATTATACTTTAACTTTTACGGTACATGCGCACAACATGCAGGTTTGTTACATATGTATACATGTGCCATGTTGGTGTGCTGCACCCAGTAACTCGCCATTTAACATTAGGTATATCTCCAAATGCTATCCGTCCCCCCTCACCCTACCCCACAACAGGCCCCGGATTGTGATGTTCCCCTTCTTCTGCCCATATGTTCTCTTTGGTCAATTCCCACCTATGAGCGAGAACATGCGGTGTTTGGTGTTTTGTGCTTGGATAGTTTGCTCAGAATGATGGTTCCAGCTTCATCCATGTCCCTATAAAGGACATGAACTCTTCATTTTTTATGGCTGCATTTTGTTCCATGGTGTATATGTGCCACATTTTCTTAATCCAGTCTATCATTGTTGGACATTTGGGTTGGTTCCAAGTCTTCGCTATTGTGAACAGTGCCGCAATAAACATACTTGTGCTTGTGCCTTTATAGCAGCATGATTTATACTCCCTTGGGTGTATACCCAGTAATGGGATGGCTGGGTCAAATAGTATTTCTAGTTCTAGAGCCCTGAGGAATCGCCACACTGACTTCCACAATGGTTGAACTAGTTTACAGTCCCACCAACCGTGTAAAAGTGTTTCTATTTCTCCACATCCTCTCCAGCACCTGTTGTTTCCTGATTTTTTAATGATCGCCATTCTAAGTGGTGTGAGATGGTATCTCATTGTGGTTTTGATTTGCATTTCTCTGATGGCCAGTGATGATGAGCATTTTTCCATGTGTCTTTTTGCTGCATAAATGTCTTCTTTTGAGAAGGGTCTTCATATCCTTCACCCACTTTTTGATGGGGTTGTTTTTTTCTTGTAAATTTGTTTGAGTTCGTTGTAGATTCTGGATATTAGCCCTTCGTCAGATGAGTAGATGGCACAAACTTTCTCCCATTCTGTAGGTTGCCTGTTCAGTCTGATGGTAGTTTCTTTTGCTGTGCAGAAGCTCCTTAGTTTAATTAGATCCCATTTGTCAATTTTGGCTTTTGTTGCCATTGCTTTTGGTGTTCTAGACATGAAGTCCTTCCCCATGCCTATGTCCTGAATGGTATTGCCTAGGTTTTCTTCTAGGGTTTTTACGGTTTTAGGTCTAACATTTAAGTCTTGAATCCATCTTGAATTAATTTTTGTATAAGGTGCAAGGAAGGGATCCAGTTTCAGCTTTCTACATACGGCTAGCCAGTTTTCCCAGCACCATTTATTAACTAGGGAATCATTTCCCCATTTCTTGTGTTTGTCAGGTTTGTCAAAGATCAGATGGTTGTAGATATGTGGCATTATTTCTCAGGGCTCTGTTCTGTTCCATTGGTCTATATCTCTGTTTTGGTACAAGTACAATGCTGTTTTGGTCACTGTAGCCTTGTAGTATAGTTTGATGTCAGGTAGCGTGATGGCTCCAGCTTTGTTCTTTTGGTTTAGGATTGACTTGGCAATGAGGGCTCTTTTTTAGTTCCTTATGAACTTTAAAGTAGTTTTTTCCAATTCTGTGAAGAAAGTCTTTGGTAGCTTGATGGGGATGGCATTGAATCTATAAATTACCTTGGGCAGTATGGCCATTTTCACGATATTGATTATTCCTACCCATGAGCATGGAATGTTCTTCCATTTGTTTGTATCCTCTTTTATTTCATTGAGCAGTGGTTTGTAGTTCTCCTTGAAGAGGTCCTTCACGTCCTTGTAAGTTGGGTTCCTAGGTATTTTATTCTCTTTGAAGCAATTGTGAATGGGAGTTCACTCACGATTTGGCTCTCTGTTTGTCTGTTATTGGTGTATAAGAATGCTAATGATTTTTGCACACTGATTTTGTATCCTGAGACTTTGCTGAAGTTGCCTATCAGCTTAAGGAGATTTTGGGCTGAGATGATGGGGTTTTCTAGATATACAATCATGTCATCTGCAAACAGGGACAATTTGACTTCCTCTTTTCCTAATTGAATACCCTTTATTTCCTTCTCCTTCCTGATTGCCCTGGCCAGAATTTCCAGCATTATGTTGAATAGGAGTGGTGAGAGAGGGCATCCCTGTCTTGTGCCTGTTTTCAAAGGGAATGCTTCCAGCTTTTGCCCATTTAGTATGATATTGGCTATGGCTTTGTCAGAGATAGCTCCTATTACTTTGAGATACGTCTCATCAATTCCTAATTTATTGAGAGTTTTTTGCAGGAAGAGTTGTTGAATTTTGTCAAAGGCCTTTTCTGCATCTCTTGATATCTCAAGATAATCACATGGTTTTTTTGTCATTGGTTCTGTTTATAAGGTGGATTACGTTTGTTGATTTGTGTATGTTGAACCAGCCTTGCATCCCAGAGATGAAGCCCACTTGATCATGGTGGATAAGCTTTTTGATATGCTGCTGGATTCGGTTTGCCAGTATTTTATTGAGGATTTTTGCATAGATCTTCATCGGAGATATTGGTCTAAAATTCTCTTTTTTTGTTGTGTCTCTGCCAGGCTTTGGTATCAGGATGATGCTGTCCTCATAAAATGAGTTAGGGAGGTTCCCTCTTTTTCCATTGATTGGAATAGTTTCAGAAGGAATGGTACCAGCTCCTCCTTGTACCTCTGGTAGATTTTGGCTGTGAATCCATCTGGTCCTGGACTTTTTCTGGTTGGAAAGCTAATTATTAATTATTGCCTCAATTTCAGAGCCTGTTATTGGTCTATTCAGAGATTCAAATTCTTCCTGGTTTAGTCTTGGGTGGGTGTATGTGTCGAGGAATTTATCCATTTCTTCTAGATTTTCTAGTTTATTTGCATAGAGGTGTTTATAGTATTCTCTGATGGTAGTTTGTATTTCTGTGGGATCGGTGGTGATATCCCCTTGGGTTTAATAAACAGATAACATCAAACATTCAACTAATCCAATAAAAAGAAATTTTATTCATTTGAGAATGTGTTTTCCAGAGCATACTTATATATTACGTTTTAACTTCATAATTTATATTTTATAAAAACATAACTAATTCAAGTTAATCTTCTCTAATTTTTAATTCAATTGAATTTTTATCAGGATCACTATATTTAAACAAAAATTACCTGAATTTTTCACATCATAATTTATAGATTCTGCTTCTACAAATTGTCTGTAGGGACCATTATTTCTACACGGTCTACTTTCCTGGGTTAAGTGGTGGATACCCAAATGTTTTTTGGAATAATGTTTTCTTATATCAGTTTTTAGTCAGTGATACGTTGCACCATGTTTAATTTTAAGCATTATCAGTTTTCTTTTTTTTTTTTAATTGATCATTCTTGGGTGTTTCTCGCAGAGGGGGATTTGGCAGGGTCACAGGACAATAGTGGAGGGAAGGTCAGCAGATAAACAAGTGAACAAAGGTCTCTGGTTTTCCTAGGCAGAGGACCCTGTGGCCTTCCGCAGTGTTTGTGTCCCTGGGTACTTGAGATTAGGGAGTGGTGATGACTCTTAAGGAGCATGCTGCCTTCAAGCATCTGTTTAACAAAGCACATCTTGCACCGCCCTTAATCCATTCAACCCTGAGTGGATACAGCCCATGTTTCAGAGAGCACAGGGTTGGGGGTAAGGTCACAGATCAACAGGATCCCAAGGCAGAAGAATTTTTCTTAGTACAGAACAAAATGAAAAGTCTCCCATGTCTACCTCTTTCTACACAGACACGGCAACCATCCGATTTCTCAATCTTTTCCCCACCTTTCCCCCCTTTCTATTCCACAAAACCGCCATTGTCATCATGGCCCATTCTCAATGAGCTGTTGGGTACACCTCCCAGACGGGGTGGTGGCAGGGCAGAGGGGCTCCTCACTTCCCAGTAGGGGTGGCTGGGCAGAGGCGCCCTTCACCTCCCGGACGGGGCGGCTGGCCAGGCTGGGGGCTGACCCCCCCACCTCCCTCCTGGACAGGGCGGCTGGCCGGGCGAGGGGCTGACCCCCTCACCTCCCTCCCGGATGGGGCGGCTGGCCGGGCGGGGGGCTGACCCCCCACCTCCCTCCCGGACGGGGCGGCTGACTGGGCGGGGGGCTGACCCCCCCACTTCCCTCCCGGATGGGGTGGCTGGCCGGGCAGAGGGGCTCCTCAGTTCCCAGTAGGGGTGGCCGGGCAGAGGCACCCCTCACCTCCCGGACGGGGCGGCTGGCCGGGCGGGGGGCTGACCCGCCCACCTCTCTCCCCCCCAGAAGGGGTGGCTGGCCGGGCGGGGGGCTGACCCCCCACCTCCCTCCCAGACGGGGCGGCTGGCCGGGCAGAGAGGCTCCTCACTTCCCATCAGGGGCTGCCAGGCAGAGGCACCCCTCACTTCCCGGATGGGGCGGCTGGCCGGGTGGGGGGCTAACCCACCCACCTCCCTCCCGGAGGAGGCGGCTGGCCGGGCGGGCGGCTGACCCCCCACCTCCCTTCCGGATGGGGTGGCTGGCCAGGCGGGGGGCTGACCCCCCCACCTCACTCCCGAACGAGGTGGCTGCCGGGCGGAGACGCTCCTCACTTCCGAGACGGGGTGACTGCCGGGCGGAGGGGCTCCTCACTTCTCAGACGGGGTGGTTGCCAGGCAGAGGGTCTCCTCACTTCTCAGACGGGGCGGCCGGGCAGAGACATTCCTCACATCCCGGACGGGGCGGCAGGGCAGAGGTGCTCCCCACATCTCAGATGATGGGCGGCCGGGCAGAGACGCTCCTCACTTCCCAGATGTGATGGCGGCCGGGAAGAGGCGCTCGTCACTTCCTAGATGGGATGGCGGCCGGGCAGAGACGCTCCTCACTTTCCAGACTGGGCAGCCAGGCAGAGGGGCTCCTCACATCCCAGACGATGGGCGGCCAGGTGGAGACGCTCCTCACTTCCCAGACGGGGTGGCGGCCGGGCAGAGGCTGCAATCTCGGCACTTTGGGAGGCCAAGGCAGGCTGCTGGGAGGTGGAGGTTGTAGCGAGCCAAGATCACGCCACTGCACTCCAGCCTGGGCACCATTGAGCACTGAGTGAACGAGTCTCCGTCTGCAATCCCGGCATCTCGGGAGGCCGAGGCTGGCGGATCACTCGCGGTTAGGAGCTCAGCCCGGCCAACACAGCGAAACCCCGTCTCCACCAAAAAAATACGAAAACCAGTCAGGCGTGGCGGCGCGCGCCTGCAATCGCAGGCACTCGGCAGGCTGAGGCAGGAGAATCAGGCAGGGAGGTTGCAGTGAGCCGAGATGGCAGCAGTACCATCCAGCTTCGGCTCGGCATCAGAGGGAGACCGTGGAAAGAGAGGGAGAGAGAGACCGTGGGGAGATGGAGAGGGTGAGGGAGAGGGAGAGGGAGAGGGAGAGCTATCAGTTTTCTTTCTTGTGCATTATTTTCACAGTAATATAAATTATGGACATCAAAATATCCTCAGGGTTAAAAACGTTGGAGTCCAAGCATTCTATATTCTTGATTTGTATGGTTTCACTTATGACTCAGCATTTTAGGAAAACATTGGCTCTATAATCTGTCACCCTCACCCCATTTAAATAAAAACATACTTTTTTGGACACAAGGATCAGGCATACACATCTACACAGTGGATCACATCATTTTTGGGGGCAAACTGAAAACTGTTTTTATACTCAAACATACTGTTGGGAAACTGTGAAATAAAAATTTCTGATGTTTGTTAAAAATTGGGAAGAAAGACATTAATACTATTGTAGTAGATTTTATGGCCATCGTAATAGGGTTCAGTTCAGAAATTGATCATAACTCTGAACACAGACAACGAAGAATTTATAGTCAATAAGCAGAATAAATCAGTGGATAAAAATTATTGAAAAACATTTGATAAAATACCAAAGGAGGAAGAGGAACTTTTTATAGCAGAAGGCTGGTTACAGGTTGGCTAAGGACTTAAATATCAAAGAAAGGGAATCACGATATTAGTAGACATAAGGGATATGTGGATTTTTACTAAACAGTATTAGCAGGATTTATGAAAGTGAGCCTCTCAAACCAGGAGCAGGGCAAGAAGTCAAGGTTGGCTTAGTCAAAAAGAGGGTTCAGTTAAGCTTGACTAACATTTGGTCATAAAGGGAGTGCTTACAAGAACCCAGATTTTTTTCCCATCTGATCTGAAAATAAATAATCACCAAAAAAGGCTTTGTTTGAAAAATGAGTGCCCACTTCACCTGAGAAAACCTCCATCTTCTTCTGTTTACCTTTGAATTTAGTGTAGAAAAAGAGCACTTGTCATCGCCACAGTTTTAATTTTGCTTTCACTCTTAAAAACAGAGAGTCAGGGCTGGGTGTGGTTGTTCATGCCTGTAATCCCAGCATTTTGGGCATGGTGATGCAAGCACACCTGTAATCCCAGCTACTTGAAAGGCTGAGGCAGGAGAATCACTTGAACCCAAGAGTCAGAGGTTTCAGTGAGCCAAAATCACACCACTGCACTCCAGCCTGGTGACAGAGTGAGACTCCATCAAACAAAACAAAACAAAACAAAACAAAACAAAACAAAACACAAAATTAGAAATTTAGTTTTATTCAAACAGCAACTTACAAACACAAAGGTTATAGTTTCTGACCCCTATTCAAGACAATTGGTTGTAACCATAAGTATTGATGGGACTTCAGGGAGATTCCTCAGATGGAGCTGATGCAGCTGTGCAAGCCACTTTGACCTTGCATCTTTCCTACTTCTTAGCCTTTGAAATGGACATGGTTGCTGGTGCAGGCTTGTGCTCCTACAGCCAGCCATATGGGACCATGAGACAGCCTACAGGATAAAAACCATCTACTGAAATATTGTAGCAAAGTGTGCCAAGAGGGTTGACTAGAAGTAGCTATGGTGTGTGGCTTTCATGAAAAGAAACAAAGAGGGAAAATAAATACAGCACCATCAACTGAAACACCCAGATATTTGCAGTGGGACTAATGAAGGAAACAGCTCAACCCATGGGAAAAAGAAGGGCATGGCAACCGCCCACCCGGGAGTAACACAGACCAAAGGGAACCTACCCTGCCCAAGGAAGTGGTGAGCAAATACGTGACCCTGAGAAACCACACTTCTCCCATGGATCTTTGCAACTCTCGGATCAGGAGATTTTCTCGTAAACTTATTCCACCAGGGCCTTTGGTCTGATACACAGAGCTGCGTGTTCCCGGCAGAACAACTGCTCAGACACAAACAGAATCGCAGGAGCTTTACATATTTTGGCTCTGAGATCTCTGGCAAAGGTGACTGCAACTCAGACAAGGTGGGAGGTTGGATCTCCGTAAATGCCCCTAGAAAGGAAGCTGAATCCATGGGCCTGAGCAGCATCAGTGGGCCCCACTTCCATGACGCCTCACAGGATAAGATCAACTGGCTTGGAATTCCATCCAGCCCCCAGCAACAGCATTGCAATTACCTGGGATGGAACAACGTTCCTGGAGGCAGGGGCTGGCTGCTATATTTGCTGTTTGGATGACTCAGCCATTCCAGCCTGGAGGTTTAGGAGAGTTAAAAAAAAAAAAAACTCATGGCAGATGGAAGAAATCCCTTAGCACGGCACATTGGCCCTCCCAAAGTTTGGCCGGACTACTTCTTGAAGTGGGACCCAGATACCTTTTTCATCTCAGAGTGGGGCCTCCTACCAGAGCCTCCAGACAGCCCCTTCCATATTCTCCGGCAGGCAGAGTTTTGATTTATTCCTGGATGCAGTGCACATTGGGAGCAGTGGGTCTTCATATTTGTTGTTTGGAGAACTCAGCCATAACAATCAGTGGGCTTAGGAGAGTCCAAACCATCCCAGGGAAGAAGGAATCCCCCAGCATAGCACAGTGGATCTGCCATAATGTGATCAGATTGCTTCTTTAAGTGGGACCTAATATGCTCTGCATCTCTGGGTGGAACTTCCCAACCAGGGCCTCCAGCAACTCCCACTGATGTTGTCTGGCTGGCAGAGGTTTAAAAACTTCCTGGGCCAGAGTTCCTAGAGAGAGGGGTTGGCCACCATCTTTGCTGTTTCAGCCACTTTGCTGTTTCAGCCTCCAGGCTTTGGAGAGCCCAATCTGATGAAGGGCAGAAATGGTACCCCGCACAGCATGGCTGATCTATGAAAGTGGGGCTAGATGGCTTAAGTGGGTCCCCAATCCTATTCCTCCTAGCTGGGTGAGACCTACCAACTGGGGTTTCCAGTCACCTCCTACAGGTGTGTTCGAGCCCTCAACATGTCTGCACCCGCCCTGGGATGGAGCTCCCAGGGAAGGGAGTGGGCTGCTATCTTTCTTGTTTCACAGCCTTCACTGGTGATACCCCCAGATACTGGAAAATCCGAGGTGACAAGAGAGTGGAGCAGATGCCCAACAAACTACAGCAGCCCCACACAAAATGGCCAAACAGTTAAAAGGAAGAGAAACAAACAAAAATCTCATTCAAAGGCCAGCAACCTCAAAGATTAAAGATAGATAGGCACACAAAGGTGAGAATCACAACAAGAATACTAAAAACTCAAAAATCAGGGTGCTCTCCCTCTCCCAAATGACCACACTACTTCTCCAGCAAGAGTTCAGAATAAGGGTGAGGCTGTGATCCCTGAAATAACAGAAGTAGACCCCAGAATGTGGATAAAAATGAACTTCACTGATCTAAAGGAGCATGCTCTAACTCAATACAAGAAAGCTAAAAATTACAATATAATATTGCAGGAGCTGACAAACAAATTAGCCAGGATAGAGAGGAGCCTAACCAACCCGATAGCACTGTAAAACACAATACAAAAATTTCATAATGCAATCACAAGTATTAATGAGGAAAGAAACTCAGAGCTTGAAGTTTGTATTTCTGAAAGAAGACATGCAGAGAAGAATAGAAAAAAAGAATGAAAGGAATAAACAAAACCTTTGAGAAATATGGGATTATGTAAAGAGACCAAATCTACAACTGATTGGTGTACTTGAAAGAGCTGGGGAGAATGGAACCAATCAGGAAAACATATTTCAGGATATCATCAATGAGAACTTCCCCAACCTTGCTACACTGGCCAACAATTCAGAAAATGGAGAGAAGTTCAGTAAGATACTCCAAGAAAAAATCATACCCAAGACACATAAACGTCAGATTCCCCAAACTTGAAATGGAAGAAAAAAAAAGAAAAAAAAGCTCAGCCGCAGAGAAAAGCCAAGTCACCTACAAAAAGAAGTTGATCAGACTAAGAGCAGAGCTGTCAGTGAGAACCCTACAAGCCAAAAGAGATTGGGGGCCAATATTTAACGTTCTTAAAGAAAATAAACTTTAAGCCAGAATTTTATATCTGGCCAAACTAAGCTTAATCTGGGGAGAAATAACATCCCTTTCAGACAAGCAAATTCCGAGTTAATTCATGAACACCAGACATGCTTTTCAAGAGCTCCTGAAGGAAGCACCAATTTGGAAAGGGAAAATTATTCCCAGCCACCACAAAAACACACTCAAGTACACAGACCATTGACACTATAAATCAACCACATAAACAAGTCTGAAAAATAAAAATAACCAGCTAGCATCAAGATAACAAGATAAAATCTACGCATAACAATACTTACCTTAAATGTAAATGGGATAAATGCCCCAGTTGAAACACACAGGGTGGCAATTGTATAAAAACCAAGACCCATTGGTATGCTCTTCAAGACACCCATCTCACATGCGGGGACACACATAGGCTAAAAATAAAGGGATGGAGGAAATTTCACCAAGCAAGTGGAAAACCTAAAAAAGCAAGGGTTGCAGTCTTACTTTCCAACAAAACAGACTTTAAAGCAACACAGATTAAAAACAACAACAACAACAACAACAAAGAGGGTCATTACATAACGGCAAATAATTCAATTCAACAAGAATTAACTATTCTAAATATATATGCACCCAACACAAGAGTACCCAGATTCATATAACAAGTTTCTAGATATCTTGAAAGAGACTTAGAACACCACACAATAATAGTGACCGACTTTAACATCCCACTGACAGTATTAGAAAGATTATTGAGACAGAAAATTAACAAAGATGTTCAGGACCTGAACTTAGCTCTGGATCAAATGGACATGATATATATTTACAGAACTCTCCACATGAAAACAGCAGAATATACATTCTTCTCATCACTACATGACACTTTCTCTGAAATTGGTCACTTAGCCAGAAGTAAAACACTCTTCAGCAAATGCAAAAGAACTGAAATCATAATAAACAGTGGCTCAGATCACAGCACAATCAAATTAAAACTCACGATGAAATAATTTACTGAAAACCATAAAATTAAATGGAAATTGAATCACCTGCTCCTGAATAACTTTTGGGTAAATAATGAAATTAAGGCAGATATCAAGGAGTTCTTTGAAACCAATGAGAACAAAGACAAAACATACCAGAATCTCTGGGACACAGCTAAGGCAGTATTAAGATGAAAATTTATGGCATTAAATGCCCACATTAAAATGCCAGAAATGTCTCAAGTTACAACTTCACAACAAAAATAACTACAGGAACAAGAGCAAAGAAGTTCTAGAGCTAGCAGAAGACAAGAAATAACCAAAATCAGACCTGAACTGATGGAGATAGGGACAAGAGAAACCATTCAACAGATCAACAAATTCAGGAGCTGTTTCTTTTTCTTTGAAAAAACCAATAATATAAATACACCAGTAGTAGACTAATAAGGAAGAAAATATCAAAAATTAAAATGAACACAATCAGAAATAATAAGGGTTACCACTGACCCCACAGAAATAAAAATAACCATCAGAAAATATCATAAACACCTCTATGCCTATAAGATAACAAATTCAGTAGAAATGGATAAATTTCTGGACACATACACCCTTCAAGAATAAACCAGGAAGAAATTGAATCCCTGAAAAGACAAACAACAGGCTCTGAAATTCAGGCAGTAATAAATAGCCTACAAACCACAAAAAGATCAGAAACACAAAGATTAAAAGCTGAAGGTTATGACATTTATGAAGAAGAACTGGTACAATTCCCACTAAAATTATTTCAAAAAACTGAAACAGAGGGCTTCCTTCCCGACTCTTTCTATGAGAGCACATCATCCTGGTACCAAAACCTGGCAGACACACAAGAAAAAAAACAAAACTTCAAAAAATTTGCAAGAAGAAAACAACCCCATCAAAAAGTGGGCGAAGGACATGAACAGACGCTTCTCAAAAGAAGACATTTATGCACCCAAAAAACACATGAAAAAATGCTCACCATCACTGGCCATCAGAGAAATGCAAATCAAAACCACAATGAGATACCATCTCACACCAGTTAGAATGGCAATCATTAAAAAGTCAGGAAACAACAGGTGCTGGAGGAGATGTGGAGAAATAGGAACACTTTTACACTGTTGGTGGGACTGTAAACTAGTTCAACCATTGTGGAAGTCAGTGTGGCAATTCGTCAGGGATCTAGAACTAGAAATACCATTTGACCCAGCCATCCCATTTCTGGGTATATACACAAAGGACTATAAATCATGCTGCTTTAAAGACACAGGCACACGTTTGTTTATTGCGGCACTATTCACAATAGCAAAGACTTGGAACCAACCCAAATGTCCAACAATGATAGACTGGATTAAGAAAATGTGGCACATATACACCATGGAATACTATGCAGCCATAAAAAATGATGAGTTCATGTCCTTTGTAGGGACACGGATTAAATTGGAAATCATCATTCTCAGTAAACTATCACAAGAACAAAAAAACCAAACACCGCATGTTCTCACTCATAGGTGGGAATTGAACAATGAGATCACATGGACACAGGAAGGGGAACATCACACTCTGGGGACTGTTGTGATGAGGGGGGAGGGGAGAAGGATAGCATTGGGAGATATACCTAATGCTAAATGTCGAGTTAATGGGTGCAGCACACAAGCATGGTGCATGCGTACATATGTAACTAACCTGCACATTGTGCACATGTACCCTAAAACTTAAAGTATAATAATAATAAAATAAAAAAAGAAAAAAAAAAACTTCATGCCAATATTTTTGATGAACATTTATGCAAACATTCTTAACAAAATAGGGGCAAACCAAATCCAGCAGCGCATCAGAAAGCTTATCCACCACAATCAAGTAGGCTCCATCTGTGGGATGCAACTTTAATTCAACGTACACAAATCAATATGTGATTTATCACATAAACAGAACTAAAGACAAAAGCCACATGATTGTCTGAATAGATGCAGATAAATCTTTGCATCCATAAAATTCAACATCCATTCTTGTAAAAACTCTCAATAAACTAGGTATTGAAAAAAACATACTTCAATATAATAAGAACCATGTATGACAAACCCACAGCCAATATCATACTGAAAGGGCAAAAGCTGAAAGCATTCCCTTTTAAAACGGGCACAAGACAAGGATGCCCTCTCTCATGAATCCTATTTCAGATAGTATTGGAAGTACTGGGCAGAGCAATCAGGTAAGAGAAAAAGGCATTCAAATTGAAAGAAAAGAAATTAAACAACACCTGATGTCAGACGACATGATTCTATATCTTGAAAACCCCTATTGTCTCAACCCCAAAGCTTCTTAAGCTGATAAATATCTTTAACAAAGTCCCAAGATACAAAATAAATGGGCCAAAATCACTAGCACTAAATCCTTATATACCAACAACAGTCAAGCCAAGAGCAAAATCGTGAATGAACACTCATTCACAGTTACCACAAAAAGAATAAAATACCAAGGAATGTATCTAACAAGAGAAGTGAAAGGCCACTACAAGGAGAACTATAAACCACTTCTCAAAGAAATCAGACATGACATAAACAAATAGAAAAACATTTCATGCTTATGGATAGAAAGAGTTAATATTGTTAAAGTAGACACACTCCACAAAGAAATTTATAGAGTTAATAGTATTTCCGTTAAACTACCAATGACATTTTTCACAAAACTAGAAAAGCTATTTTAAAATTTATATGGAACCAACAAAGGCCTGAATAGTCAAGACAACCCCAAACAAAAAGAACTAAGCTGGAGGCATCACACTACCCAACTTCAAACTGTGCTACAGGGCTACAGAAACCAAAACAGCATGGTACTGGTACAAGAACAGACACACAGACCAATGAAACAGAATAGAGGACCCAGAAATAAGACTGCACACCTACAACTAACTGATCTTCGACAAACCTGACAAAAACAAGCAATGAAAAAACGACTCTGTACTCAATAAATGGTGCTGGGATAACTGCCTAGCCATGTGCAAAAAATTGAAACTGAACCCCTTCCTCCATCATCCTCTGCAACTAACACAGGAACAGAAAACTAACCACCGCATATTCTCACTCATAAGTGGGAGTTGAACAATAAGAACACATGGACACTGGAAGGGAAACAACACAACTGGGGCTAGTCAGGGAATGGGAGTCGAAGGGAGGGAGAGCATTAGGATAACTAGCTAATACATGTGGGACTTGAAGCCTGGATAACGGGCTGATAGGTGCAGTAAACCACCATGGCACACATATACCAATGTAACAAACCTACACATTCTGCACTTGTACTTCAGAACCCAATTTAAATTTAAAAAATAAAGAAAGATTCCTTACATCATATACAACAATAAACTCAACATGGTTTAAATGTAAAACCCAAGACTATAAAAACTTTGGAAGACAACCTAGGCAATACCATTCAGGACATAGGCATGGGCAAATATTTTATGATGAAGGCGCAAAAGCAATTAGAACAAAGAGAACATTGACAAATGGGATCTAATTAAACTAAAGAGCTTTTGCACAGCAAAAGAAACTATCAACAGAGTAAACAGACAATGTATAGAATGGGAGAAAATTTTTGCAAACTGTGCATCTGACAATAATCTAATTTCTAGCATCCATAAGGAACATAAATTTACACGAGAAAAACAAACAACCTTATTAAAAATTGGCCAAAGGACACACAGAAACACTTCTTGAAAGAAGACATACATGCAGCCAATAAGCGTATGAAACAGAAGTTCAACATCAGTGACCATTAGAGAAATGTAAATCCAAACCACAATGAGATATCATTTTATACCAGGTATAATGGTTACCATGAAAAAATCAAAAAATCACAGATGCTGACAAAGTTGTGGAGAAAAAGCAACATTTTTACCCTGTTGGTCGAGTTCAAACGTTGTGGAAGACAGTGTGGTGATTCTTCAAAGACCTAAAGAAAAGAATACCATTTGACCTAGCAATCTCATTACTGGGTATATACCCAAACAAATATAAGTCATTCTATTATAAAGATACCTGCACGCACAAGTTCATCACAGCCCTATTCACAATAGCAAAGACATCAAATCAGCCTACATGTTCATCAATAATAGACTGGTTGAAGAAAACGTAGTTCATATACAACATGGAGTACTATGCAGCCATAAAAAAGCACAAGATTATGTCCTTTGTAGGGACATGGATGGAGCTGGAGGCCATTATCCTTAAAAAACTAACAGAAACAGAAAACCAAATACCACATTTTCTCACTTATAAGTGGAGGGTAGATGATGAGAACACACAGAAACATGGAGGGGAGCAACACGCACCAGGGCCTATCAGGAGGTAGGGGGTGAGAGGAGGGAGAGAATCAGAAAAAATAACTAATAGTTAGTAGACTTAATACCTGGGTGATAAAACAATCTGCACAACCAAACTTCGGGACGGTATGTTTCCATATTTAAAGAACCTGCACATCCTGCCCATATACCCCTGAACTTAAAACAAAGTTCAAAAAAGAAAAACATTTTAGCAAAATGACAGACTATTTTTGACTACCTTCGTGTACAGTTCAGAGTCAGACTGCCCAGCTCTAACATCCTTATTTATGAGAAAGAAAGCATTCTCTCTCTTATCTGCACTATTATATTGGGTTTTCTTTTTTAATTTTTTTGAGACGGAGTTTCACTCTTATTGCCCAGACTGGAGTGCAATGGCGCGATCTCGGTTCACCACAATCTCTACCTCCCGGGTTCAAGCGATTCTCCTGCCTCAGCCTCTCAAGAAGCAGGGATTACAGGCATGCACCACTACGCCTGGAAAATTTTGTATTTTTGGTAGAGACTGGGTTTCTCTATGTTGGTCAGGCTGGTCTTAAACTCCAGACCTCTGGTGATCCGTCTGCCTCAACCTCCCAATGTGTTGGGATAACAGGCGTGAACTACAGCACCCGGTCTGGGTTTTCTTCTATATGTAGGAAAATGTAATCCTAACTAAAGTGCTAGCTTTGCCATGGAATCTCTGTGTAATTCTGGATGTTATGTCACTTTCCTAAGACTTTTTTCTATCTGCATAGTGGTGGAGGCAGTAGTGGGGAAGATTTAATTATACAAAGGGTCCATCAATCCATGTGTTAAGTGAGGATGTCACTACTTTCCAGACTCAGAGGACAGGGGACATATTGTTATGCTCCATGGAAGCTGTTTGGGGGTGGAGGTGGGGCTCACTTGCACACATTGTCTGTGGGCCTTGAAAGATCAAGTGTGTATGACCCTTCTTGAACAGAAGGTCCATGTGCCCAGTGCAGAACCCATCTATTTCTTCCCAAGTGAGGAAGATCTGGGAACACCCTGATCACAGCCTTGCTACACCAATCCTAGTTGGTAGGGACGTTAGACCATATGCATGTTGAGCTGTGGCTTAAGCATTTTGACATCTCACATCTCATTGGATATCTGAAAAACTGAGGTCTGGAGAGAAGCAGGGACTGGCCCAGAGATGATGAAGTGGGCAGAGTCCAAGGGAAAAAAGAGCATTCTGACCTCCTAGGCCAGGGCTCAACACTCTCATGGGGTTTGTTTTGGGAATGAGTCCCTGAGATCCTGGGGATTTTTGCCAATTTTCTCGTCATATGAAGCAAACTCATGTCTGCATCATAGAATTCCACAGGTTTGTGCATACACACACAGACTTCTCAGGCTAAAGGTCATAAGAGGAGTTAACGCTGATGGAGTGATGAGAAGAAAAAAGATAGAGGATAGGGGCAGCTTTGTCATGGGGTAGAAGCACCCCATCTTCTGGTAACATGCCCAGGACCCATAACATGGGCAGGGGAAGGCAATAGGCTGATGGCTTGAGAGGCTCAAGGCTTCCATGGATCTGACTGGGCTGCAGCCAACACCAGGATAGCTTTCCAAGGACAAAACCTTACTTTCTCCATTCATTAATCTGCATAATTAAAATGGTAAGGAATCCCCCTACACCCAATATGGAGAGGAATACAGTAGTGAAAACCTTCAATTTTTCCCTGTACAAATTGACATAATTGAACTGTGTGACCCCTAAATTTGAAAGGCTTAAAGAAGTGAGTTGACCTTGCTGTCTATCAATTACCACTGTACTCTCAGAACTTTGGAAATTGCTCTGTGTCCTCCGAAGGTCTTTCAGAGCAGAAAGTGGCCTAGGGGTGTGCGGGACTGAGCACTCAGGCTGGTGTAGAATGTGACAGATCCTCAGACCACTGCTCTGGGATCCAAGGAGAAGACCTTCTCGGTCAGAGCTTTGGGGATCTTTTTTTTGGAGGGGGCGATCTTTTTTGAAAGTGGAGACAGAATCGTTTTCCAGGGCTCCCTCATTTGCCCTCCTGTTTCATAGTATTTCTTTTTTCTGTCTTTCTTTCTTTCTTTCTTTCTTTCTTTCTTTCTTCTTTCTTTCTTTCTTCTTTCTTTTTCTTTCTTTCTTCTTTCTTTCTTTCCTTCTTTTTCTTTCTCTTTCTTTCTTTCTCCTTCGTTTCTTTTCTTTCTTCCTTTCTTTCTTCTTTCTCTTTCTTTTGTTCTTCCTTCATTCCTTCCTTCCGTTTCTTTCTTTCTTCTTTCTTTCTTTCCTCTTCCTTCATTCCTTCCTTCCTTTTCTTTCTTTCTTTCTTTCTTTCTCTTTCTTTCTCCTTCCTTCCTCCCTCCCTTTCTTTTCTTTCTTTCCTTATTTTCTTTTTTCTTTCTTCTTTCTTTCTTTCTTCTTTCTTTCTTTCTTTCTTTCTTTCTTTCTTTCTTTATCAGAGTCTCTCTCTTCTCGCTCTTTCACGGGACTGGAGTGGAGTGGCATGATCTCGGCTCACTGCAACCTCCACCTCCCGGGTTCAAGTGATTCACTGCAACCTCCACCTCCCAGGTTCAAGTGATTCTCCTGCCTCAGCCTCCTGAGTAGCTGGGAATATAAGGGCGTGCCACCAAGCCTGGCTAATTTTTGTATTATTAGTAGAGACGGGGTTTCGCCATGTTGTCCAGGATGGTCTCGATCTCTTCACCTCGTGATCTGCTTGTATCAGCCTCTGAAAAAAACTGAGATTATAGGTGTGAGCCACCACACAAAGCCTACAGTTTATTTTTCTTTGCTTGTTAAAATGTTTTAGTCAGCTAAAATTTACACAATATAGAGTTCTACATACTATCTAATATAAAGTGTAAAATTCAGTGCTTTTCAGTTTATTTACAATGCTATGCAACTGTCACCCTTATCAAATTCCAAAATAGTTTCATCACCCTCTCACCAAAAAAACTCCATATCCATTAAGCAGTAATTTATCATTCATCCACCGAATTTCCTTGGTAACCACTGATTGACTTTCTATCTCTAGTACTCTCTTTCTTTCTTTCCTTTTTTTTTTTTTTTTTTGGTGTCTCACTCTGTCACCCATGCTAGAGTGCAGTGGCACGATCTCGGCTCGCTGCAAGCTCCACCTCCCTGGTTCACGCCATTCTCCTGCCTCAGCCTCCAGGGTAGCTGGGACTACAGATGCCTGTCAGCACGCCCAGCTATTTTTCTTTGTATTTTTAGTAGAGACAGGGTTTCACCATGTTAGCCAGCATGGTCTCGATCTCCTGACGTCGTGATCTGCCTGCTTCGGCCACCCAAAGTGCTGGGATTACAGGCGTGAGCCATCACACCCGGCTTCTATTTCTAGTTTTCTATTCTAGTCACTTTATAGAAATATAATAATATAATATGTGACCTTTTTTCTTTGGCTTTTCTCTTTGAGCGTGTTTTCATTATTTATCCATGTTGTGGCACATATCAGTTCTGTATTTATTTTTATGGCTAGCTAATACTCCATTGTATAAATAATATTCTATTGGCCAGGGACGATGGCTCACACCTATAAACTCAGTATTTTGGGAGGCTGAGGCTGGTGGATCACCTGAGGTCAGGAGTTCTAGACCAGCCTGGCTGACATGGTGAAACACTGTGTCTACTAAAAATACAAAAATTAGCCGGGCGTGGTTCCTGAAAGCCCAATTGCTCAGGAGGCTGAGGCCAGGGAATCTCTTGAACCCAGGAGGTGGAGGTTACAGTGAGCTGAGATCGTGCCACTGCACTCCAGCATGGGTGACAGAGCAAGACTGTCTCAAAAAAAAAGAAAGAAAATGAGAGGAAATATGTGCAAACTACACAGCTGACAAGCGATTGATAAGCAGAATACAGAATAAACAAAAAACTAAATAAAAAATTAGTTTAACTTTAAAATGGGCAATAATCTTCAGAAACATTTCTGGAAAATGTAAGGGGCATAAACATAGAACCTAAAAGTTAGAGAAGAATTATGAAAAAACTGAAGGATATAGAAAAAATAATTTCAGACTATTCACATTAAAATTTAATTAGAGAGGGGGTGGAGCCAAGATGGGCGAATAGGAAAAGCCTTAGTCTAGAACTCCCAGCATCGGCAATGCAGAACACAGGTGATTTCTGCATTTCCAACTGAGGTACCGGGCTCATCTCACTGGGGAGTGTCAGAAAGTGGGTGCAGGACAGTGGGTGCAGCGCACCCCATGTGAGCCAAAGCATGGTGAGGCATCGCCTCACCCAGGAAGTGCAAGGGGTCAGGGAATACCCTTTCCTAGTCAAAGAAAGGGGTGACAGATTGCACCTGGAAAATCGGGTGACTCCCACCCTAACACTGTACTGTTCCAAAGGTCTTAGCAAACGGCATACCAGGAGATTATATCCTGCACCTGGCTCAGAGGGTCCTACGCCCACAGAGCCACAATCATTGCTAGCACAGCAGTCTGAGATCAAACTGCAAGGCAACAACAAGCCTGGGGGAGGGGCGCCCACCATTGCCGTGGCTTGAGTAGGTAAACAAAGCAGCCAGGAAGCTCCAACTGGGTGGAGCCAACTGCATCTCAAGGAGGCCTGCCTGACTCTGTAGACTCCACCTCTGGGGGCAGGGAATAGCCAAACAAATGGCAGCAGAATCCTCTGCAGACTTAAATGTCCCTGTCTGACAGCTTTGAAGAGAGTAGTGGTTATCCCAGCATGCAACTGGAGATCTGAGAACAGACAGACTGCCTCCTCAAGTGGGTCCCTGACCCCCGAGTAGCCTATCTGGGAAGCATCCCCAGTAGGGGCAGACTGACACCTCACACGGCCGGGTACTCCTCTGAGACAAAATTTCCAGAGGAACAATCAGGCAGCAATATTTGCTTTTCACCAATATCCGCTGTTCTGCAGCCTCCACTGCTGATACCCAGGCAAACAGGGTCTGGAGTGGACCTCCAGCAAACTCCAACAGACCTGCAGCTGAGGGTTCTGACTGTTAGAAGGAAAACTAACAAACAGAAAGTACATCCACAACAAAATCCCATCTGTACATCACAATCATCAAAGACCAAAGGAGAGAAAACTACAAAGATGGGGAAAAAACAGAGCAGAAAAACGGAAAATTCTAAAAATCAGAGTATCTCTCCACCTCCAAAGGAACACAGCTCCTCACCAGCAATGGAACAAAGCTGGACAGAGAATGACTTTGACGAATTGAGAGAAGAAGGCTTCAGACGATCAAACTACTCCGAGCTAAAGGAGGAAGTTCAAACCCATGGCAAAGAAGTGAAAAACCTTTAAAAAAATTAGATGAATAGCTAACTAGAATAACCAATGCAGAGAAGTTCGTAAAGGACCTGATGGAGCTGAAAACCAATGTACGAGAAGTACGTGATGAATGCACAAGCCTCAGTAGCCAATTCGATGAACTGGAAGAAAGGGTGTCAGTGATGGAAGATCAAATGAATGAAATGAAGTGAGAAAAGAAGTTTAGAGAGAAAAAGATAAAAAGAAATGAACAAAACCTCCAAGAAATATGGGACTGTGTGAAAAGACCAAATCTACATCTGATTGGTGTACCTGAAAGTTATGAGGAGAATGGAAACAAGTTGGAAAACACTCTGAAGGATATTATCCATGAGAACTTCCCCAATCTAGCAAGGGAGGGTGACATTCAAATTCAGGAAATACAGAGAACACCAAAAAGATAATCCTCAAGAAGAGCAACTCCAAGACACATAATTGTCAGATTCACCAAAGTTGAAATGAAGGAAAAAATGTTAAGGGCAGCCAGAGAGAAAGGTCGGGTTACCCACAAAGGGAAGCCCATCAGACTAACAGCTGATCTCTCGGCAGAAACTCTACAAGCCAGAAGAGTGGGGAACAATATTCAACATTCTTAAAGAAAAGAATTTTCAATCCAGAATTTCATATTCATTCAAACTAAGCTTCATAAGTGAAGGAGAAATAAAATCCTTTACATACAAGCAAACGATGAGAGATTTTGTCACCACCAGGCCTGCCCTAAAAGAGCTCCTGAAGGAAGCACTAAACATGGAAAGGAACAACCGGTACCAGCCACTGCAAAAACATGCCAAGTTGTAAAGACCATCGAGGCTAGGAAGAAACTGCATCAACTAACGAGCAAAATAACCAGCTAACATCATAATGACAGGATCAAATGCACACAAAACAATATTAACCTTAAAAGTAAATGGACTAAATTCTCCCATTAAAAGACACAGACTGGCAAATTGGATAAAGAGTCAAGACCCATCAGTGTTCTGTATTCAGGAAACGCATCTCACGTGCAGAGACACACATAGGCTCAAAATAAAGGGATGGAGGAAGATCTACCAAGCAAATGGAAAACAGAAAAAGGCAGGGGTTACAATCCTAGTGTCTGATAAAACAGACTTTAAAACAATAAAGATCAAAAGAGACAAAGAAGTCCATTACGTAATGATAAAGGGATCAATGCAATAAGAAGAGCTAATTATCCTGAATATATATGCACCCAATATAGGAGCACACAGATTCATAAAGCAAGTCCTTAGAGACCTAGAAAGAGACTTAGACTCCCACACAATAGTAATGGGAGATTTTAACACCCCACTGTCAACATTAGACATATCAATGAGACAGATAGTTAACAAGGATATCCAGGAATTGAACTCAGCTCTGCACCAAGCAGACCTAATAGACATCTACAGAACTGTCCACCCCAAATCAACAGAATATACATTCTTCTCAGCACCGCACCGCACTTATTCCAAAATTGACCACATAGTTGGAAGTAAAGCACTCCTCAGCAAATTGTAAAAGAACAGAAATTATAAAAACCTCTCTCTCAGACCACACTGCAATAAAACTAGAACTCAGGATTAAGAAACTCACTCAAAACCGCTCAACTACATGGAAACCAAACAACCTGCTCCCGAATGACTACTGGGTACATAACGAAACGAAGGCAGAAATAAAGATGTTCTTTGAAAGCAACGAGAACAAAGACACAACATACCAGAATCTATGGGACACATTCAAAGCAGCGTGTAGAGGGAAATTTATAGCACTAAAGGCCCACAAGAGAAAGCAGAGAAGATCTAAAATTGACACCCTATCATCACAATTAAAAGAACTAGAGAAGCAAGAGCAAACACATTCAAAAGCTAGCAGAAGGCAAGAAATAACTAAGATCAGAGCAGAATTGAAAGAAATAGAAACATAAAAAACCCTTCAAAAAATCAGTGAATTCAGGAGCTGGTTTTTGAAACGATCAACAAAATTGATAGACTGCTAGCAAGACTAGTAAAGAAGAAAAGAGAGAAGAATCAAATAGACGCAATAAAAACTGATCATTTATGTGGCTCAAGTTCTCTAATATAACATAGTACGGTCAAAATGGAAGGGTAAAAATTGCAAGACCACCTTAACGTTTGTCATCTTAAGTGTACTATAAAAATGCCTTTTAAATTAATTCAGTGAATAGGTTTTTAAGTGCATGTTTTAGATTATGCTGAACTGTCAAATACCAGCACATCCCTAATTTGCAGTAGATTAACAGCACTTTTTAGCACACATCACAGAGTTGTTCGGTGGCCAAATTGAAAAGGCACCTCCTCTCCATGTGGTCATTCAGAAACTCAAAGTTCTTTCATTATTTGTCTTCATCATCCATGAGTCGTGGTTGCCGTTTGTGTTCAGTCCCCTGAAAATAAAGTACTTTAAGAAATGCATGCGAGAAGACTTGATGGACTCATCTTAATGTGACTCACATCCATCTCACTCTACAACCATTAACAATAACTGGTCACGTTTCCACATCTCATGCAAATGAGGCTAAGAAATGTAATTCTGCTGTGTCCCTAATAAATGGGAGAATAGAATTTGTTGAATGACCAGAGTTTTCCGTAACATTGTGTCACTCATATGGATTTACTGTGTTTCTCAAATATTTATTAAACATCTGTCATAGCCAAGCACTGTGATAAGGAGTACAGGGAGGACAGAGAGCTGACTCAGCAGAGTCCTAGTCTGAAAGAAACTCACAATCTAAGAAAATAAGAAAAGTCATGTTAGGTGCTGCTATAAAGGCACATGCACACGTATGTTTATTGTGGCACTACTCACAATGCAAATACTTGGAACCAACCGAAATGTCCAACAATGATAGACTGGATCAAGCAAATGTGGCCCATATACACCATGGAATGCTATGCAGCCATAAAAAATGATGAGTTCATGTCCTTTGTGTGTACATGGATGAAGCTGGAAAAGATAATTCTCAGCAAACTATCACAAGGACAAAAAAAAACAAACACCACATGTTCTCGCTTATAGGTGGGAATTGAACAATGAGAACACTTGGACACAGGAAGGGTAACATTACCCACTGGGGAATGTTGTTGGGGGGGGAGGGGGGAGGGATAGCATTTGGAGATATACCTAATGTAAATGACGAGTTAATGGGTGCAGCTCACCAACATGGCACATGTATACATAAGTAACAAACCTGCACGTTGTGCACATGTACCCTAGAACTTAAAGTATAATAAATATATGTATAACATACGTATATATTATATACATGTTCAAGGGATTCTCCTGCCTCAGCCTCCCAAGTAGCTGGGATTACAAGCGCTGCCATTACTCCCAGCTATTTTTTGTATTTTTAGTAGAGAAGGAGTTTTGCCATGTTGACCAGGACGGTCTGGATCTCCTGACCTCATGATCCACACCCCTTGGCCTCCCAGAGTGCTGGGATTACAGGTGTGAGCCACAGCCCCCGGCCTATATGAGTTTTCAAATAGTTTTTTCTAGCTCCGTAAAAAATTTCATTGGCAGTTTGATGGAAATAGTATTAAATCTGTAAATTTCTTTGTGAAGTATAGCCATTTTAGTGATATTGCATCTTCCTATCCGTGAGCATGGGATGGTTTTCCATTTGTTTGTATCTTCTCTGATTTCTTTGAGCAGTGTTTTGTAAATCTCATTGTAGAGCTCTTTCACCTCCCTGGTGAGCTGCATTTCCAGATATTTTATTATTTTAGTGGCAATTGTGAATGGGATGGCCTTTCTGATTTTGCTGTCAGTGTGGCTATCGTTGGTGTAGAAAAATGTTAGTGATCTTTGCACATTGATTTAGTATCTTGAAACTTTGCTGAAGCTGTTTGTTAACTAAAGAAGCTTTGTAGATGAAACTACAGGGTTTTCTAGATAGAGAATTATGTTATCTGCAAACAGAAATAGTTTGGCTTTCTCTCTTCCTATTTGGATGTTCTTCGGATTTCTTTCTCTAGCCTGATTGCTCTGGTCAGTACTGTCAATACTAAGTTGAATAGAAATGGCAAGAGAGGGCATTCTTGCCTTCTACTGGTTTTAAAAAATAATGTTCCCGGCTTTTGCCCATTCAACACATTGTTGGCTGTGGGTTTCTTATAGACGGCTTTTATTATTTTCTGCGTCTATTGAGATAATCATCTTTTTTTTGTTTTTAGTTCTGTTTATGTAATGTATTACATTTATTGATTTGCACATGATGGACCAACCTTGCGTCCTAAGGAGGAAGCCTACTTGATCATGACGGATTACCTGTTTGATGTGCTGCTGGATTTGCCTCCCAAATATTTTGTTGAGAACTTTTGTATTGATGTTCGTCAAGAATGTTGGCCTGAAGTTTTCTTTCCCTTCTTTCTTTTTTTTTTTTTTTTTGACGGTGTCTCCCTCTGTTGCCCAGGCTGGAGTGGATTGCACTGGCGCGATCTCTGCTTAATGCAATCTCTGCCTCCTGAGTTCACGCCATTCTCCTGCTTCAGCCTCCCAAGTAGCTGGGACTACAGGTGTCTGCTACCAAGCCCGGCTAATTTTTTGTGTTTTTGTTGTGTCTCTGCCTGTTTTGGTGTCAAGATCATGCTGTCCTCATAGAATGAGTTGGGGAGAAGACCCTCCTTCTCAATTTTTGGGTATAGTTTCTGTAGGAATTGTACCAGCTCTTCTTTGTACATTTGGTAGAATTTGGCTGTAAGTCCATAAAGTCCAGAGCTTTTTTTTTTGATTGGCAAGCTACTTATTACCTATTTAATATCAGAGTTTTTTACTGGTCTGTTCAGGAAATCATTGTCTTCCTGGCTTAATCTTGAGAGAGTGTGTATATCTAGGAATCTATTTATTTCGTTAAAGTTTTCTAGTTTGTGTGTATAAAGTTGTTCATGTTAGTGCTGTCCCCAGTTAAATAAAAACAACTATTAGAAACCACTAAAGTTTAACACTTGTTTTTATATCTTTAATCAATTTTTATTTAATTTTTCTACTTGGAATGTGATAAAGATTCAACTTTACTGGTTTAAATGTGGACTTGTTTTCCCAGCATTTCTTGTGTAACAAACTGTCTTTACATAATGATTAAGACACACTTTTAAAAAGACAAACAATAATTTATGAAAGGGTTTTTTGGAGTATCTATTTTATTTATTTGATCTCCACAATTGTTCTTATGCCACTATCAAACTGTTATAATTTTAGTAGCTTTTTATGTTTTCAAATTTAAAATTGTGAGCCACCTAATTTTGTCCTTCTTTTCAAGATTATTCTGTACATTCAGAGGATGTTCAAATTCCATATGAAGTTTTAAATGAGCTATTTTCTTTTTGCAGAAGAAAAGTTGGAAAAATGAAAACTTGGGATTACAGTACATCTGTACACTCCTTTGGGCAGTGGTATTGTCATCTTAACTTCATTAAATCTTCCGGTTCAGGAACATGGAATTTGTTGCCAGTTATTTAAGTCCTTTTTAGTTTTTTTCATAAACATTCTGATCCTGTATTTTTTATTGTACAAGATATTTACCTCCTTATTAAATTTATTGCTAAGAATTATATTATTTTAATGTTGTTGCGAACAATTGTTTTCTTAATTTACTGTCAAATTGTTAATTGTATATGGAAATGCAGTTTATGTTTCTGTGTTGTAAAAATAATTATTTCATGTCTCAAATCTAGATTAGCAATTCATTCAGAATAAATATGCTGTATATATTACTAGTCATTTAACTTTTTCCAATAAGCTAACCAATTTCAATATGTCTAAATATGTAAAAATGTTAAATTGTGTTAGATTTTTCACTTACTCTCACCTGTCATTTATCTGTCAGAATTACATTACTGCGCACTAGAACTTTCATTTCTGGGGCCGGGCACGGAGGCTCATGCCTATATTCCTAGCACTTTGTGAGGCCAAGGCAGGCGGACCACCTGAGATCAGGAGTTCGAGACCTGTCTGGCCAATATGGTAAAACCCCGCCTCTACTAAAAATACAAAAATAAGCTGAGCGTGGTCTTGGGAGACTGTATTCCCAGCTACTTTGGAGGCTGACACTGGAGAATCACTTGAACAATCCCACGACACAAAACAACCGAGGTTAGTCTTCATGTCGAAAGTCTTCAATGGATTGTCTTTTATCACAGGATTGCTTAGTGCAACATTTAATGGGAAAGATGCATGCTACTGAGATGTAGTTCTCCACAAGTCTCTTAGAGTTTGTTGTTTTGTTGTGGATTACATCACATACCTGTCCTGTTCCACGTTATTTTTCAAAGATTTTTGTACACAAATAACCTGGAAAAAGGGTAGTAGTTTTTCTCTTCAGGTGAATGGCAGATAAATTACTCAATCAATATAATAAAGACAATTTTTCTTTGTGACGCAAAGGTTGGACAGGCTTCCATGTAACCTACTTTAAAAAGATTGAGGTTTCTTAGTCTTGAGTCTGCTCAGCTATGACACAAATCTTCCCCATGTACAATGTCCATATGAGCCTTTTGAAATCCTTCAAAAAACGTAGTATGGACAAGGAGAACTAATACAAATATGAGGCTTTTGCCTCCAGGTAAGCAGTAAATAGTAGGTATTTTTTTTCATACTTCAGTGTCTCATGCCTTCTACCAGCATCGATGAAAATGGAAGGTTAATATGTTGTTTACAAATGCTATAAAATCTTAGATACGTCACAATTATTTAATTTTGGAGATGACTATGGCATGCTGAGATAAACACAACTTTCTGAAAGGGGAAAAGGAACAAATACTTGAAGAGCTTGCAAGGGATATGAGAAGTTCCCCCAGGACCAACAGCAAATTCTCTCGGCCAAGTGGTTAGTTTGGTGAAGCAAGAGATCAAGACTCTGCTGTCTGCTAATGAGACTGATCCTTGAGAGGATTATAACAATGAACCTGAGAGCTTTGCATGTTCACTTTTCTCCTGCTGGAAAATCAAGGAGCTCTTAAAGCTAATGTTGAGGTTTGGATGAGTCCAAAACAGTAGAAGTTCATGTGGTTCAGCTGTGAGCAGCAAAAAGACTGCAAAAAGCCACATTAAGCAGGTTTTGTAAGTCTCTCCTTTACCCACATGAAGGAACCCATTCCCTCTGCACTTCTAATTTTTGTCCTTTGTCTACAGCTAACTTCAGCAACTTTAAATATTAAACTACATACGATTGGAGGTTTGGATGGGGGAACACAAATGTATGTAGTTCCTTTGGATATATGTATCTAATTCACCATTCTGTGGAGTCCCTTAGGGTGCACAGGGAGATATAGGTGTTAGGGTGGCTGGAAATGCTGACAAACCTATCATTCTATTAATCCAGTTGCTTCCAGATAATGGAAAGCATGGTAAGTCCACTGACATCCGTGAAGATGAGCACACTGCTACACTTTGGCTGTGAAGTGAGTTTCTTGGTCTGAGCAATGCTAAGTGGAATATCATAGGGATGGATGAGGGATTCTGTGAGTCCATGGAGGGTAGTTTTGGCAGAATTCCACCCAGGGAAAGCAAATTTGTATCCATAGTAAGAGCCTACTCCAGTGAGTACAAACTGTTGCCGCCTATATTATAAAAGTTATTCAACGTAATAAATTTACTACCAGGTGCCTGGTGGATCACCCTGGAAATGATGTCATATCAAAGACTCAGTGTAGATCTGTGCTGCTGTCAAATTAAACATTCAGAATTGACTGTAGCCAGACTGGCCTTTGGGATTCAAAGTTCATATTGCTTAGCCCGTGCATTGCTTCTATTTCTGCTACTATGTTCACCTTGTTTATAAGCCCATTGGGTGATGATGGGGGTGACAGGGAAGTAAGAATGACCCATACTCACGGAACAAGACATTCTGTCCACATCATTATCAAAATCATGCTCTGATACGGTTACCCCTTAGTAGGGATTCATATAGAACAGACATATCTTTATGTAATTTACCCAGTGAGAGAAGTTTATCCACAAAAGTTTTTCTATTTTTTTTTTTTGCCAGGAATTTTGTAATCATGTTCCTTCCGTGTCATTGGTCATGTAGCCAATTCATGGGCCACAGCAGTGTTGCAGGAGTGAGTATCATAGGATCTCAAACTCCTGTTCTTAAGCAATCCTTGCCTCAACCTCTTAAGTAGCTGAGACTATAGGTGCACCCCACAACGCCTAACTAATTTTGTTTTATTTTTAGTAGAGATTAGATTTTGCTATGTTTTCCAGGCTGTTCTCACACTCCCCACCTCAAGCGATTCTCCCAGCTTTGCCTGCAAAGTGCTTTGACTAGAGTCAAACCTCCACACCCAGCACCTATAATTTGATATTTTAAACAATACTATGTAGCGAAAGCAATTACGAAGTTATCTAGGGAAAGAAAGCTCACTATCACAGTGTAAAATTGTATAGATATGATGCGGGCATGTGTGTATACATGCTTGCTTGTGTGCATAGGTGCGTGTTTTCTGAGAAATGGTACCTTATTGCTACCAGGCTAGGATAGCATTCATGTTCTTCTGAAGATGTCAAATATTGAAGCTCCAGGATTCATAGAACAAGATTCCTAAGTGGTTCACGAGAGGGTGAACGATTGAGTAATGGGTATTTTGGAAGAAACAACTGGCCTAGGGACAAGAATAAGTGTGCAAATCATCTGTGTGAAACACGCTTTCTTCGGAGCACGCATTTCATGCACTTCATTCTACTGTGACAGATATTGCTACTCTGAGTTTGGGAGAGATTGAACCTAGGGTCTACTGTGAAACTCTGTAGACTAGACTTCTGTCTGAGGCAGCCCCTGCCTGTAACCGTAACCTGCGCCAAACTCCAATGGAGCATTCTTCTCAATGGATAAATGGAAATTCCGGATGATCCGATGGGCAGAGAGTGCGACTGTTTTTTTCAGGAGCTCTGGTTGAATGGTTTTGGGGACTTTCTGGGAGGATGCTCTGCACCCAGAAAAGTAGTCCAACGGGAATCATGAGAAAATGGGCGACTCCGTGTGCCTCCGTCCCCTCCTACTTCCTCACCCACCCCTCCATCAGGGATCCCACGTATTCCAGGATGACACGTGTTTTAGTTGTCTTTGGGCGACAACTAGCGGCAACCGTTATTGAAAATGTAAGCTGTAGAGAACAAAAAAACTCTGGTCGCCTGTTCACAGCTCACTCACTGCAACGTTGAATCCTGGGCTTAAGCAATCCTCCTGCCTCAGCTTCCTGAGTAGCTGGAAATATAGGCATGTGCCACAATGCTGGGCAATATTTTTAAGTAGTGGTAATCTCTCTCGATGTGTTGCCCAGGTTAGTCTCAAACTCCTGTCCTCTATCCAGCCTCCCACCTTGGTCTTCAGAAGTCCTGGGATTACAGGCTTGAGCCACTGTGCTCACTCCTATAATTTGATGTTTTCAACAATACTATGTAGTGAAATGCATCACGAAGACATTTTGCAAAAGAAAGCTCACTATCACATATAAAGTTGTATACTTGTCATGTGCTTACGTGAGCGCATGTTCTTGCCTGTCTGAATGTTTTCTGAGAACTGATCATCTTTTCCCCAGGGACACTGGTTGAAGAGCTGCGGGGATTGTCTGGGAGGGTGTCTCGGGCCCGGAAACGTAATCCAGGAGAGATC
>NC_000021.9:6630181-6739085 GCF_000001405.40 Homo sapiens
GATCTCATCTGAGTCACATCAAAGCCCACACTCTTCTTCAACGTTCACCTTCCAGACACGCTCCAAAACAGCCCCTCAGAATTGTCTTGAGATGAAACAAAAGGTGATGAAGCTCCAGGTTTGGAATGCCTGCCTCATTCCTCACTCCTGAAAAGTCTACACCTGCTGGTTAGAACTCTCATACCTTAGGGAGCCCGGGCTCTCAGAGTGCATCCTCTAACAGGACCTCCTGGCCTTTTCCTCCTTGGAGGAGAGTGCCCAAGAATAAGAGGGAATACATGGCCTCCACTCTCACTTGACTTGATTGACTGATTAACTGATGTCTGAGGAGGAAACATATGTAGGGAACAGCCTGGGTCTTTTGAATCCCTGTTCCCCAGCTATGATGCCTGTGCAAATGGAGGGAGAATCCCAAAGTATTGTTGGGAGGTAGACAGACACTGGCTAACACAATTAAGTAAATATAAGGTGACTTGAAGGGAAATTTATCATATGTCATATACAAAATTTTAGTTAGTGAACTTTATTTAAAAACAGTCACAATTTGTAAGGGGAGTAAAGTATAATTTTAATGGGGAACTATGAAAATTATCTGCACTTGCTATGTAAATGATTGAGTTAGGGGTAACAATCTGAAGGTCATGAGCTTGATATCTGCTACTTAATTTCATAAGACATTTACTTGCAAATGGTTGTCATTTTTGCTCTCACCATATGAAAATTTTTTCTTGCTAAGAGCATTCCTATGAAAGAAAAACTAGAAATTTTGCCAATTTCGGTTATTAAAACAATAAAACTGGTTTGTTTGTTATTCTTAACCAAATGCTCCTACAGATGGCACATAGTACCCATGCTTTGATTGTTTTTTTCCCACCTTAAGTCAATTGCCTTTCATTTTATTCATCAAACTGTTTTTACTGTAGATAGACATTGCAGTTGTCATGTGCCCTATGGATTTGTACTTTATTAGAAATATGAATTCTCAGGCCGAGTATATTGGCTCACGCCTGTAATCCCAGCACTTTGCGAGGTGGAAGAGAGTGGATCACCTGAGGTCAGGAGTTCAAGAACAGCCTGACCAACATGGTAAAACCCCATCTCTCTACTATTTACAGTTCGCATTGTACCTTGCAATGAATATACATTTTATCCAAAAAGCCTAAAAAATAATGAAATTGGGGGTGGGGGCATGGCTGGAAGTATAGATAAAACAAAAATGACACATGACTAGCAGCTGTTAAAGCTGGGTGACTGGTCTGTTATACTTTTTTTGTATTGTGTATGTTTTTAGTGATCTGTAATAAAACACTTGTACAAAATGACAAAGTTTATCTACACTTAGCTCTTAAGGTCTTGGTTACCTTTGGGAAGGGGAAAGTGTCAGGGGCATGAACAAATCTGATTCTTAGATACACAAGTGTATTTATTTAGTAATAATTCATCAAACATTCCCTAAATGCTTTGTGCCTATATTGCTGTATGCATGTTATTTATCAATAAAAATGTAAAGAGTGCATGTTTGCATAACAATCCTAAATTAATATTTTAGAATAATAGCAATGTTTTGTTTTGTTTTCAAGTGGGGCGTGTTCACTCAGGACATCATCAGGTGTATGTTAATGTTCCAAGTTATTTATTTATGTTTTAACTT
This sequence comes from Homo sapiens, assembly GCF_000001405.40. NCBI lineage: Eukaryota > Metazoa > Chordata > Mammalia > Primates > Hominidae > Homo > Homo sapiens. Next base: position 6,631,833 of record NC_000021.9, read on the forward strand.
TTGGGTGAGCCCCCCTGGGTCTTTTAATTTTTACTTCAACACAGTAAGTAGCATGGTTTTAACTTTTTGGAATGCAGCTTTGTTTTCATCAAGGTTCTCCCCGAAGAATGATGCTCACCCAGGCCAGGGCACACAGTGACCCGTGCACAGGATGCACTGAGCACACACGGCACTGGGTGAACCAGGAACAGAAGGAGAAGCCAGCCTGGGTCTGCAAAATATACTTTGCAGGAAAAGCAGGTAAAATGGAAAGGTCACAATTCAGCAGCAAACGTTTTCACATTCATTGGAGAAATCATTTCTAACAAAAGCTGCTCGTTAAAGCCATGGTTTTCTGGCTTGCCTACACATTGTAATCACCTGCACGACTTTCAACCATATTTTTTTCAGATCCAGCTCCAAGGATTCTGATTTAGTTGTGCGGTTACAACTTGGGTTTAAGGGATTTTGAAAGTTTTCCTCCCCGCAGGTGATTCTCTTGCGCCAGGGGTAAGAAGCGCTGGATAGGGGTGAGGGATGCTTTAGCTGTGAGAGATAGCCATGTACGCTTCAGGATTTGCCCCATCGCATATCTGGAGTTCGGGGTCTTAGAAAGCTTTCTTGCCCTGTTAAAAATTAAAGGATGGCTTCAATACATACTTAGCTGCTTGGCTACATTGCAGAAAAACAAATTGCCTTTCCAGAGATCAGTTTTTTGAGACAGGGTTTTGCTCTGTCAGCCAGGCTGGAGTGCAGTTGTGTGATCATGGTTCATTGCAGCCTTGACCTCCCAGGCTCAGGTGATCCTCCAGCTCCAGCCTTCTGAGTAGCTGGGACTGAAGTCATGCACCACCAGGCCTGGCTAATTTTTCAAATTTTTTTTTTTTTTTTTTTTTTTTTTTTTTTTTGTAGAGATGGCTTTCTCTATGCTGCCTGGGCTGGTCTCAAACTCCTGGTCTCAAGTGATCCTCCCACCTCAGTCTCCCTAATAGTTCGACCTACAGGCACAGGGAAGCATGCCCGGTATATTTATTAAAATGTAGTTACCAGAATATTTAAAATTCACTTGTGCCTCTCATATTATTTCTTAGAGAATTGCCTCCCTTTTGAAATCTCAGGCTGCCTGCTCTAAAACCTGGATGTGCCAGGAAAGTAAAACATCTGAAATTTTAAAACAATTGTCATTATATTGATTCCATATATGAATAACACATATATATTATTCATTAATACAAATAATCTTACATACAAATGTAAATGCAAATATTTTACAGGCAGGGCCAGTTTCTAGTTCACAGAGGAAGCCCTGCCAGAAAAGGATCCAGGAAAAACCTATAATTCTTGCTTTATTCAACCCAGTGTCAAATCACATATGTCACTCATGGTCTGAGGCGGCAGGGTAGGGAATTGAACTACATCCAATCATGGGTCTTGGAGTGGAAACTATCTAATCAGGTGCACAGCTGGAGAAGAATGGGCAGCTTTTTGGAAGTACGGAGGCCTTGGCCTGTCTCTCCACTCAGAGCTCAGGACACTAGAGCCACCTCAACATAATCACCTGTTTTTTAGTTATTTTAACACTCCAAAAGGGAACTAGTTTTCTCATGCATTTTCCAAATGTGTGGCAGGCAGAGACTCAAATCTAACTCCCTGTTGCCCCAGCCTAACTCTGGCTTGCAATCAGATTTTAAATTTCCAGTTCTTTCCTGACACTCACCAACACTAACTAACCTTCCATAATTCACAACATTATCAACTGTTCTTTATTGTACATTTCAGACACAGTATTTCAATTCTTCTTTTTGTCAAAAAGCAGTGGATGTCATTTAAAAAAATTTTTTCTCATTTGTAAACATTTTACAGGAGATGAAAGCAGAGAATAATCCCCTGACACCCCACTGTAAAAAAAATAAATAAAAAGCGGAAAACCTTTGTGCCCCTTTGTTTAAACTTCTCTTGGCACAGACACCCCATCAGAAAGCCTTTGGGTTCAGGTTTCATTTTGGAAACTTCACAGGGCAATACATCCTCAGCCATCCTGTTATTTTCTTGGTTTTGAATTTCAAAACTGTTTGAGGATTCCCCAAGATGCCAACAGTGGCCATGACTCTTGAAGTGTCTAGTAAATAGCATCCCTTGTGTCATCTCCTCTCAGGGAACAGCCCAAGGTATGGGAATGCAGCCTCTCTGTGGAGTGGTTGTTTGAGATGTGCCTGGAAGGAATCTCTAGGTATACCCTTGCGCTAAAAGCAAACCCATTAGGTCATTAAGATTTTCTTACCCCAAAGCTTAGTTTCCATTCCTTAGAGACACATTGCAGGCCAGGCAAATGGATGCTGATATTGAGGAAAAAATGTTCTCAGATTGGTGAAGGGAGAGAAAATATTTCAAAGGACAAAGAAACCCAACCTAGTGAGGCAGTGCAAAAACCTGCAAAGTAAAATGCACCTCAGGGACACAGAGGAGCACAGGGTAGCGACTCCTGGTAGGATGGTCATGACCCACTTCACTGAACCAGATGTGAGTGGGGAAAATATCCCAAGTAATAGAATGGCTTGACTTGACCCTTGGGTCTGATATGTCTGTGTTTCAATCGGCACTGTCACCTTCTAATTTTGTCACCTTGAAAATGTTTTTGTACTTACTTTAACTTCACTTTTTAATTAACTGTAAACTATGTTTTATCAGTAGAGCTTGAAAGGCATGAAAATATTTATAAAGCACATTAAGTTGGTGAATTTTGAATAAAATTAAGTAGTAATATATTTCACTTGTTAAAAATTGTTACTTGCCTATTTCTTTAGCAGAATGAGTGTCGTACATTTCCCAGGACTGTTTTTTATTTGTCTGAGAGGTGATTTCAAGCAGAATCTCACGACTTACTGTTGGGAATGTTACCAGGTGTATTGATAGGGATAGTCTCTCTTCCACTACGGTGGTACGAAATGAATACATACCTACAAGCACGTGAGGTAGATTAATTGTTAAATTACATAAATTTATCACATCAGTTATTCTTTTTTCAAAACAGAGAACTTCTGATAGTGAGTATCTCTGTTCCATATGCTGTCATCTGGGTGTTTGAGGGTAACGCTAAGTTTTAGGAGCTGGGACTTGGCACCGCCTGGAAGTGTTCACATATGATTGTTTACTAAATGATTTGTTATGAACATAATTAAATTACATGTTTATTTTCTGAAAGGGATAGATACTTTGGCTTTTCTTGTTGAGTTATAAAATGTAAGCCCCTTATAACTTTCTTTTTTAATTTTAATTTTATTTTTTAGACTTAGTGTCACTCTTGTTGCCCAGTCTGGAGTGCAATGGCACGATATTGGCTCACTGTAACCTCCACCTCCCGGGTTCAAGCAATTCTCCTGCCTCGGCCTCCCAAGTAACTGGGATTACAGGAATACACGACCACCCCCGTTTAAGTTTGTATTTTTAGTAGAGACTGTGTTTCTTCATGTTAGTGAGGCTGGTCTCGAACTCCTGACCTCAGGTAATCTGCCCGCCTCAGCCTCCCAAAATGCAGGGATTACAGGCATGAGCCACCATGCCCGACCATAATTTCCTCTCTTTTAAACCTTAGATTTGAATGATTTTTGCTGGATTCTTCAAACATGAAGTATTTTTTAAATTGAAAACTAATTGAATGACTTTAACTGGTAAGTAGAAGTCTTAGACCGTTGACTAAAAGCTAAGGCTAACGTTGACCCTGCAAAAGGGGGCCACTGAAGGCCCAGTTGATTATTCCTGGGTGTCTGCCCTGCAGACATCAAAGTCTGCTCACACCAACCATAGAAGGAGCCTTTGTCACTGTCAGAAGATACAGAGCTTTGGTAAGCTGGAAGTTGACAGGCAGATGCAGTTGGGGTTGAGATTGAAGAAAAGTTGGGATATTCTTTCTAGAATGGAGTTGTTATTGTCCTGAGACTGTTTATAGACTTTGTCTAAGAAGTTACTTAAGAAGTGTTGTAACAAGGAAAAAGTACAAATGATTAGATCTTTGAGGATCTCAAAGGTTAGGTGGAAAAGGGTTTTATTTCATAGGGAGGAGAAAATAAGTTTACAAAGAAGGTTGGAAAGGAAGCACAGGATGGAGGGTAGCAAAATCAGATCCCAGATAAGATAATGTTTCATCTTGAAGTCAGCCTGTTCTTAGGAGGGATATGTATAAATATGGGTTGTAGGTTCTCTGAGGCTGTGGGTGAGTCAAAGTTCAGGGGCTGAGGGAAGAAGGGGAACAAGCAAAGTTTTGTTAACAAGTACTCTGTTTTGACCACTGAAGACTAAATTACAGAATGGTTGTTCATTTTTAAAAATAGGAATTTGTAATCTGTGTCCGTCTTTGTGATAGGTTAAAAAAAAGGGGGGGGGGGAACATCCACAAAGTCATAATGGGAAGCACGTTTCTCTTCACTAAGCTGTTCTTTGAGAACACAAAGAATGGGGGAATTTCTTTAAATATAGCTATTTCCAGGATTACCTTCACCCACAACTGTTCCTTTTCCTAGACATCTCTTTCATTTGTCAGTTTCTGAGTTGTATTTTTATAATAAAGTGGTAAATATAATTAGACTTATTTGTTGAGTTTTTTTGAGTAACTCTATCAAATTATTTAACTTGAAAAGGGGTTTATGGGAGTCTCAGATTTATAGGCAGTAGCTCAGAAGTATAGATGGGCTTATGGGACATGTGACTAACCTCTGCAGTGAGAGGGGTGATGTGGGACTTAGCCCTGAATTTGTGGGATCTGTGCGAACTCTAAGTTGTGTCAGAATTAAATTTTGGGGCAAGAAATGGGTGTTGAAGAAGCAGTGGGTTTTCAGGGAACTTTACACATTTAGGATCAAAAGTGTTGTAAGGAGAAAGACAATGTGGGGGCCTTTGCTGGAGAGAGACTCCAGGTGTCTCGGGGAAGGTAGGCTCTGCTCTGCACACAGGCTGCTACGCCATGCACTGCCCTGTGGTTCCAGGCATCCTCCCATGGTAAGAAGGACCGACGACTCTGAGGGAAGAAGTTCTGAGAACAGATGCCTTCTACCCTCCTGCCAACTTGAAGCCACCACATGTTTTTCACCCACTGAACATACACACTGCATGTTGACGTGGTCAAGCCCCTCTCAGGACAAGGCTTTGGCATCAAGATTGTTGCCCATCCTACCTTTCCTCATAGACTTTCCCACCAAAAACCCACACACGTGCCTACAAGACCCCTGGCATATGTTCTACTTCAGACACCGAATCTGCAGTGGCAACCTGGTTTTTTCACCATCGCAGATTTCTGTGCCACCTGATCATAATCTCGTCTTCCTGCATGAACATAGAAATAACTCAGAGAAAAGTTTCACCTGGGTCAGTGTCTGTAGCATGAACCAGTCCTCCCACCAACCCTGTACAGTCTCTCACTTCTGGTTTCTTAATAGCACCTTCCCCTCTTTTACCTTTTAGTTCACCTCAAACCCTTTCTTTTATGTGCACACAGTGTGCCCAAGGCCACCCCTCAGTTGCCTGAATCCAGCACCTACCAAAATTCAGATGTCCAGTAGTTCAAGACCATGGGCCTAGACTAAGTTTTTGCAGAAGGCAATACAAATTAGAAATGAGAGGCTCTATTCTCCCATTTGAAAATAAAAAAAAGATTTTTTTCTTTTCCTTTTTCTTAAACAATGTAATCTGGAAAACTTTAATTAGTAATTTTTTGAGGCAGAATCTTACTCTTTTACTTAGCCTGAAGTGCAACGGCATAATCATAGCTCACGGTAACCTTAACCTCTTGGGTTTGAGCAGTCCTCCTGCATCAACCGCTTAATTACCTAGGACTATAGGCATGAACCACCATGCCTGGCTAGCTTTATTTATTTTTGTTTTTATTTTTTTTCAAGACAGTGTCTTGCTCTGTGGGCTAGGCTGGAGTGTAGTGCCATGATCTTGTCTCAATGCAACCTCCACCTCCCAGGTTCAAGCAATTCTCCTGTCTCAGCCTTTTGAGTAGCTGGGATTACAGGCGCACACCACCATGTCTGGCTAATTTTTTGTTATTATTATTTTTAGTAGAGAATGGGTTTTACCATTTTGGCCAGGCTGGTCTCCACCCCCTGACCTCATTATCCACCTGCCTCAGACTCCCAAAGTGCTGGGATTACAGGTGTGAGCCAACATGCCCAGCCATATTTATTTTATTTTTTTGTAGTGACAGAATTTCACCATATTGCCTGTACTGGACTCAAACATTTGGCTTGAAGGTATCCTCATGCCTTGGCCTCCCCAAATGTTCAGATTACAGGCATGAACCACCATGAGTGGCCTGGAACACTTTTACATGTACCTTTTTTTCTCTGCTTCTTTGAAATATAAGCAAATCATTTTAACAGCTAAATAAGCCTTCTGTCATTCTTCATGACAGAGAATTGTCTTTATCTAAGACCTGGAAACTATTGCTTTGTTTTTTAATTTGGCAAAGATTTATTTATTTTTTATTTTCAGTCCTTTGAAGTAGGCACAGCGCAGTACAGTGGCTCATGTTTTTAATCCTAGTGCTTTGGGAGGCTGAGATGAGAGAATTGCTTGGGCCCAGGAGTTTGAGACCAGCCTGGGCAGCATAATGAGACACTTTCTTTATAACAAATTAAAATCAACTAGCAGGGCATGGTGGCACAGGAGGCTGAGGTGAGAGAATCATTTGAGCTCAAGAGTTTGAGGCTGCAATGAGCCATGATCACTCCAATCTACCACTGTATTCCAGCCTGGATGACAGAGGGAGACCCTGTCTCTAAATAAATAAGCAAATAAAAAAATGTGTTTTTCCATACATAAAAATAAGTTAATAAACAGATAAATAAAATAGACATGGATTTGCTTAGAATAAAGCTAATTATAAGATAACAGAAAAGTGAGCACCAAAGATGGGGTTCACCTTAGCAAGTGATTCCAGCCTATTAGGACACTCACAGAATTCTCCCTGCAGCATGACCAACATGAAAGTAGAATGTCATCATGTCAGGCTATACCAGCGTTGGAAGACTAAACACTGTGGGGAAGAACCTCCCTTATGGAATATTATCAACAGGTGAGAGACCAGCTCCTGCCCTGATGGGCTACAGAGATGAATTCTTGAGATAACACATTGCAGAAACATGCATAGAGTAGTTTAACCTTTTTTGTGTGTAACCCTTTCTCCATTTTCCTGCAAAATCCTCCCTAGAAATAGTGTTCGCTTTTAAGTTTTGAGGGTCTGGTAGGACTGAAGCTGCATGCTGCAGGAGATACCTGGGGTAGGAAACTAACACAAACTGCAGCTACAGGCACAAATACTCATGGCCTAATGTAAAGTGAAAACAATAGAAAGGTCTTTACTGTTATTCACCCAAGTGAGTGAACAGAGACTTTCCACATAACCAACTTGCCACTGAGACTAATGAAGGCCAGATTCCACTGGATCAAGACTATGAGTTACTCATGGGAAGATCATAGGACACAGCCCAGAGAGTTTTCATACTGGAGTCTGGGTACTGGGTCTGTCCCGGTCTTCTCGGGTTTCTGTCTGTAGAGACCCCTATGTGGCTGCTCTTACCACAGCCCGGTGCTGGCTGTGGTTGCTGGCTTAGTGCACCTGGTCTTTTTCCAAAAAGAGGGAGGAGTTGGCCACATCAAGAAGCTCCTCATCAATCTGAATGCAGCTCTGTAAAAAGTGCCTAGAAACCACGCAAAGAAAAGTCAGTGGTCTGCCTTGTTTTCACCGTATGTGACACCTCCACTAGAAATTCTGCTTTTCTCTGCACTCCAGCCTGGGTGACAGAGCGAGGCTTCCTCAAAAAGGAAAAAAGAAAAAGAAAAAGAGAGAAAGAAAGACAGAAGGAAGTAAGGAAGAAGAAAGAAAGAAAAAGAAAGAAAGAAAGAGAAAAAAAGAAGAAAGAAAGAAAGAGAAAGAAAGAAAGAAGAAAGAAAGAAAGAAAGAAGAAAGAAAGAAAGAAAGAAGAAAGAAAGAAAGAAAGAAAGAAAGAAAGAAAGAAAGAAAGAAAGAAAGAAAGAAAGAAAATAAAAGAGAAAAGAAAAGAAAAGAAATTCTGCTCTTCAGATTAGGCACATAAGGAGAATCTGTATGAATCTCCAGCAAGGAAGGAAACCAGAGGACAAGTTAAAGTCTTGGAATTCACATCTGAGTACACAGACTCGTTCTCCAACCCTCTTCTTTTTATTCTGCCAGCTATGGCCTAGGTATGAACATGACAGGTACACAAGGGTTCCAACACCTGACAATCTGCTTCAGTAAAAGAAGAGTGCCCTCCCTCTTGCTCCCCATACAACTCATGGTACTAAGAAATGGTGTGGGACTTCCCAGATGAGTTGACAAGAGAGGCCTGGCTCTGGGGCCTGTCCTGAGCTGCCCTGTGTTATTTGTAGGTGCACCCAGCCAATAGCCAGGGGCATCAATGATGAGGCCTGAGTTGACATCCGTGTTTTCAGATAAGGCTTTTACACTGAGCCTTTGTAAAGTCAAAACTCAGAAATTTCAGGGCACAATGAAAGAACATCTCACTCTCTTGAGCATCTCTCACTAACAGAGGTGGATACAGAGCTGTCTCAAGAATGTGGGTTCCTGGTTTCTTAACTGATGTTGGGTTGTCACCAAGAAAGTGTGTTAAACTCTTCAAGGTTCCATCTACTGGGTCCCTTCTTTCTGTAAGACCTACCCAAAAGCCCCACTATGCTACTAATTGCTCAGTCTCCTCTTCCATGTCAACTCTTCATTTGTACACAAGTATGCAAACACAACTTCCCCTTAATTCCCTGGAAAGAACTAAATGCAGCCTGGGTTCCAGGATATAAGAGACAGCTGGAACATAACCTTGTTTTTCTTACCATCTCTGGGACCCAATAAAAGTCACTGTGTATTTGAGGCTTCCCCAGCCTCCAAGCATGCACAGTGGGGATGATGCTAACATCTACTTCCTAGGGATTGTATTAGATGTATATAAGATAAAACATAAAAATCATGTGGTGTTACCTGTAGATAATGCACACACTTAGAGATGGAAGCATTAGGAGAATATGTAGAAGGTAGCATGGGCCACAACTCAAACAAGCCTGGGTCTGGCAGGGTGATCTTGGGAATGTCACTTCTCCACTGCGCTTCATTTTCATTCTGCTCCAGTATGAAGTTGAAATTAAATGTAGATACTGTCCTCTGGCATTCATATAGTTTAGCTGTGTGTTCCACCCAAACTTCTCTGTGTATTGTAACCCCCAGGTGTTAAGGGAGAAACCTGAGGGGAGATGATTGGATTATGGGGACGGGTTCTCCTCATGCTGTTCTTGTGATAGTGAGTTCTCATGAGATCTGATAGTTTCATAAGCATCTGGTACATCCCATGCTCTCACTCACTTCACTTGTCAGCCACTGTAATTGGAAGGTTTCTGAGGTGCCCTCCCAATTATGTGGAACTGTGAGTCAATTAAACTTCTTTTCTTTATCAATTACCCAGTCTCAAGTACTTCATCATTGCAGTATGACAAAGTCCTAATACAGCCATTCAACTTTCTAGTGCTTTCTCTTTATATTTAGAATCATATCCATGTGCCTTCTCACGTCTATGACAGGGAAACTCTTCACAAAATCTCACAGTACTAGGTGGTTAGTGACTCAGTTTTTTATTGAATAAAATGGCCTACAGCCTGATGACAGTAATATGGCCCTTGGGTTTTGAGGAAAATATCATGTTGTAGGTTGGCCAAAAAGGAGATAGCAGTCCAGCTGAAATTTGTTTTCTTATACTGGCTTTAAGGCAGTGATTAGAAAAGGCCTAAGAGGTGGGTTCTGTAAGGGATTGCTGGAAGGAAAGTAGGAATATGGAAAGTCATGAGACATATACTGTCATCTCTTCTTGCTTCCTCTCAAGTCACATGCAAATTCAGGGAGAGTTAGTATGAAACACACAATGGAAATTTGGGCTCTAACATATGCAATCTGATTCTTCATGGACTTCATTTGGCCATATCAGTTCCAACAATTTCAGCCAATGTTTAAAAATCTTATAAGCAGATAACATTTTAGTGTTTCAACAAGCCATTTCCTATCTTTCATTCTGAAAATCCATTTTAAGTCATTTTTTTAACAGCATAGGGGTACAAATTCAGCTTCTGTCCAATGAAATACAGAAAAGGATATCACTTTTGTATTAGTTCAGGCTGCTATGCCAAAGAACCATAGATAAGCAGCTTATAGACAACAGGACTTAATTTCTCATACTTCTATAGGTTCGAAATTTGAGATCAGGTTGTCAGCACGGTTGAGCTCTGGTGATGACTCGCTTCTGAATTTCAGACTGCAGACTTCAAGTTTTACCATCATTTTGCAGAAGGAGGAAGAGAGCCCTCTGCGGTTCCTTGTATAAAGCCAGTAATCTCTATTATGAAGGTCCCACCCTCAGGAGTTAAGTACATCTTTCATCCGTATAGCATTACAACGGGGGTTACAATTTTAACATAAATACAGGAGAAAAATTATTGGAACTCTCAAGATTTTTGTTTCCTTTTTTTTTTTTTTGAGACAGTTTCACTCTTGTATCCCAGGCAGGAGTGCAGTGGTGTGATCTCGGCTTGCTGGAACCTTCGCCTCCCAGGTTCAAATGATTCCCCTGCGTCAGTCTCCCAAGTAGCTGGGATTACAGGCATGCACCACCACACCTTGCTCATTTTGTACTTTTAGAAGAGACGGTGGTTTCACCATATTGTCCAGGCTGCTTTCAAACCCCTGACCTCAGGTGATCCACCCGTCTCAGCATCCCAAAGTGTTGGGATTACAGGTGTGAGCCACCGCACCCTGTCAAGATTTTTCTAAAGCTCTCATTTTTCTCCTACTGGGTTTTTCCTGTTTGCGCCCTCAATCTTTCTCTGTCTCTTTTTGTGTACACCTTTTTGTCTAATTCTCTCTCTCTATTGTATACCTCAAACACAGGAAGCAAGCTTCAATGCTATGAGATGCTCCATGTAAAGACCAACATAACAGAGCCTGAGGGGGTGCTCAGACCAGTAGAGAGAAGGAAAGTCAGGCTCTCCAGCCACACTAAACCCTGCCAATTTTCACATGAGTCAGCTTAAAGGCTCATGCTTTCCCAGTCCAGCTTCAGTTAAGACCACAGTCCCAATGTCATAAAAGACCTAAAGGCAGAGGTACCCAACTGAACTGTGTCCAGATTCTGGTCCACATAAATTATGAGATATTATATGTTGTTGAAAAGTGCTGACTTTTAGGGCAATGTTGTCAGAAAGGAGCAGATATCTAACCTCATCTCCCAGGCCCTAGGATTCTCCATCCCTCTACTTATATCTTCCTCAGGCTGTCTGCAGCCAAACTTTCTAACCTCTGCCGAACTCACACCTATGAGTCTCTTCACTAAGGGTGGCTTCTCCCTGACACATACTTGTGCAGAGATGTCTCCCTGTTGTCATCCTTATCATGGATTAAACATCACCACAATGAGGCCTTAGTTCCTCCCATGCAATAATTTTCCAGCTTTTCTTCTCAACATTCCACTTTATATTATAGTCCTTCCTCTTTTCTTTCACATATACTTGCTTTAGTGCTTTTATCCAGCTGTCCTCAGAATGTTTGGTCCTGGGTTGGGGGGTGCAGGCATCATGTAATAATTTTCTGTACCACGTTGCACCCACCTGGTTAGCTGGCAAAGGGTGAGCGCAAGGGAAAAAAGACTGGCTAAGTGATTATATGGAGGATCTCTAATATCCCTTCCTCTTTTGACCACCTGATAATGTGGAGATCATTGATAACAACATGAGATGTGTGACTCTTACTTGTTCCAGCTGCTCCAGCAAAGCTCAGTGGGCACCAGAAACAGAGCTGGCTGTAACCACCTCCAGGCCATCACTAACTCTATGGCCCAATGCAGGAGCACTATGGAACAAATCAGGTATCTTGATTTTTCTGTCCTCAAGACACTGGTTCTTCAAGGTCCTAGGGGATAAAGTAGCAGAATCTGAAGGCCCCAAGTACAATGAGTGACCTTGGAATCCCCCTTTGCCTTCTATTTGCCTCTACCTTTTGGGTTGTGCTATTTATCCATGAGATATCCTCCCCTTATCCAGTGAAATTAGTTTCTACCACTTTCAAATGAGGACCTTAAGAACCCAACAGGAGCTGGGATTTTCCGTGGACTTCAGCCTCAGAGTCCAATGCTCTGGAACATTTAGCTCCGTCTCATCTTCATCTACCCAAGATGCCTCTGAAGTGGCCATGCCTCCCTCTGATTTGAAGGACCTACAGAGAGTGGATGCATTTCTGCACAGTCTCAGAGCAAGAATCAGGGCTGGAAGACACTTATGAGTATGTGAAATCGTCGAGGTCACCCAGTTCAAACAGCCCTATTTATGAGGAAGAAAACAGGCTTTCCTGCAGGCATTCTCTACATTAGGCTGAGGTGGAGCATAGCTCATTTTACTTCCAGGTGCCCTCAGAGCTGGATGCAAAACCCCAGTCCTGTCATCTTGAAATTGACATGGAGAGGTCCCCATGTGAACAGAACCCTGGATCTGCTCATTCTCTGTGCCCCTGAATGTGAAGCTACAGGCTCTAACTTCCAAAGCAAACCTGATAGGTGGGATGGAGCCAAGGCCTAGGAAGCTGGAGCTCTCTCTAATGCTCTGGAGCCTGCCCACCTCCTGAGATCTGGATCAGTCCCTGCCTCTTTTGGGGCCTCATTTTCCCAATTGTAATGTAATGAGAAATTAAATGTAAAATTGCATAAGCATATGCTCTGTGAGAATTTGGTGTCAGAGTCCTCAATACTGGATGATATATTTTGGTGGGAGGGGTTTGGGCCCCAGAGGTTCTCGGGACTCCTGACATATCCATTGCAGTAGGTGTAGAGCTCAGGAGATCCAGATCTTCTTTCCTGAGCCAGCTGATTACAATACAATGGACCACGGGCTATGATCTTAAATATGATTTCACAGGATTCCCCACCTTCAGCCACCATCTGCTCTGTGCTTCCCTTATTTTGGGGAGCTGATGACAACCTCCATTATAGTGAGAGAGTCCAAGAAACTAGACTTGTGGACCTGGAGAAAAGAAAAAAACACTTTTCTATTTCTCTCAAACTGTAGAATCTGTTGTCAAATATTTAATTTTGATTCCATCTGAGCTTGATAATACGTTCATGTGTTAAGAGCTGCTTAAATTTATTTTTTCTGTGGTGTGGGATAATGTCTTTTCCCATATTTTAAATCAACTTCTAAAAGCTCTCTTTAAAGTGGAGATGTGAACATCTTTGTGATATAAACTGCACATATTTGTTGCGAGATTGTTCTTTTTCTCTTTGTTAAAATGTTTTGTTTTATTCTGGTTTGGATGTCCTTCAGGGTTTTGTTTTGTGGCTATTTATTACTACAATGCAACTTCTCCCCTAATTGACTGACAGGTTTGTACATTCTCAATAAAATATTTTGGTAAAGTCTTTGTAAAAACTGTGTAGACAATTTTACAGTTTTCATAAACATAAAACAGTCAAGACTGTCATGATGAAAAAGAAAGATTGAGGGCTTAAAAATTAAAATATGACACAGCTAAAGTAGTGTGCAAAGGGAAATTTATGGCACTAAATGCCCACAAGAGAAAGCAGAAAAGGTCTAAAATCGGCATCATAATATCACAATTAAAAATCTAGGGAAGCAAGAGCAAACAAATTCAAAAGCTAGCAGAAGACAAGAAATAATTAAGATCACAGCAGAACTGAAGGAGATAGACACACAAAAAGCCCGTCCAAAAAATCAACGAATCCAGGAGCTGTTTTTTTGAAAAGATCAAGAAATAAATAAACTGCTAGCCAGAGTAATAAGGAAGAAGAGAAGAATCAAATACATGCAATAGGAAATGATAAAGGGGATATAACCATTGATCCACAGAAATAAAAATTACCATTAGAGAATATTATAAAAAACTCTTTACAAATTAACTAGAAAATCTAGACGAAATGGATAAATTCCTGGACACATATACCCTCCCAAGTCCAAACCAGTAAGAAGTCGAATGCCTGAATATGCCAATAACAAGTTCTAAAATTGAGGCAGTAACTAATAGCCTACCAACCAAAAGAAGTCCAGAACCAGAAGGATTCACAGCCGAATTCTACCAAAGGTACAAAGAGGAGCTGGTACCATTCCTTCTGAAACTATTTCAAACAATAGAAAAGAGGTACTCCTCCTTAACTCATTTTATGCATCCAGCATCATCCTGAAACCAAAACTTGGCAAAGACACACCAGAAAAAGAAAATTTCAGGCCCGTATCCCTGATGAATATCGATGCGAAAATCCTCAATAAAATACTGGCAAACCGAATCCAGCAGCACATCAAAAAGCTTATCCACCACGATCTAGTCAGCTTAATCCCTCGGATGCAAAGCTTGTTCAACATATGCAAATCAATAAATGTATTCCATCACATAAACAGAACTAATGACAAAAACCACATGATTATCTCAATAGATGCAAAAAAGGCCTTCAGCAAAATTCAACACCTCTTCATGGTAAAAACTCTCAATGAATTATGTATTGATGGAACTTATCTCAACATATTAAGAGCTATTTATGACAAACGCACAGCCAATATACTGAATGGGAAAAAACTTGAAACATTCCTTTTGAAAATCTGCACAAAACAAGAATACCCTCTCTCATCACTCCTATTCAATATAGTATTGGAAGTTCTGGCCAGGGCAATCAGTCAAGAGAAAGAAACAAAGCGTAATCAAATAGGAAGAGGAACTCAAGTTGTCTCTGTTTGCAGCTGACATGATTGTATATTTAGAAAACCCCATCGTCTCAGCCCAAAATCTCCTTAAACCAATATGCAACTTCAAAAAAGTCTCAGTATACAAAATCAGTGTTCAAAAATCACAAGAATTCCTATACACAATAATAGACAAACAGAGAGCCAAATCATGCATGAACTCTCATTCACAATTGTTACAAAGAGAATAAAATACCTAGGAATCCAACTTAAAAGGGATGGGAAGGACTTCTTCAAGGAGATCTACAAACCACTGCTCAAGGAAATAAGAGAGGACACAAACAAATGAAAAACAATCCGTGCTCATGGATAGGAAGAATCAATATTGTGAAAATGGCCATACTGCCCAAAGTAATTTATAAATTCAGTGTTATCCCCATCAAGCTCCCATTGACTTTCTTTACATAATTAGAAAAAAAACTACTTTAAATTTCATATGGAATCAAAAAAGATCCTGCATAGACAAGACAATCCTAAGCAAAAAGAACAAAAGTGGAGGCATCACACTAGCTATCTTCAAACTATACTAAAAGGCCACAGTAACCAAGACAGTATGGTACTGGTACCAAAACAGATATATTGACAAATGGAACAGAACAGAGGCCCCAGAAATAACATCAAACATCTACAACCATCTGATCTTTGATGAACCTGACAAAAACAAGTAATGGGGAAAGGATTCCTTATTTAATAAATGGTGTTGGGAAAACTAGATAGCCATATGCAAAAAAATGAAACTGGACGTCTTCCTTACTAGTTATACAAAAATTAACTGAAGATGGATTAAAGACTTAAATGTAAGACTTAAAACCATAAAAACCCCCCAAAAAACAAAGGCATTACCATTCAGGACATAGGCGTGGGCAAAGACTTCATGACTAAAACAGCAAAAACAATGGCAACAAAAGCCAAAATTGACAAACGAGATGTAATTAAAGTAAAGAGCTTCTTCACAACAAAAGAAACTATCATCAGAGTGAACAGGCAACCCACAGAAAGGAGAAAATTTATGCAATCTATCCATCTGACAATGGGCTAATATGCAGAATCTACAAAAAACTTAAGCAAATTTACAAGAAAAAAACAAACAACCATATCAAAAATGGGCAAAGGACATGAACAGACACTTCTGAAAAGAAGACATTTATGCAGCCAACAAACATATGAAAAAAAAACTCATCATCACTGGTCATTAGATAAATGCAAATCAAAAACACAGTGAGAAACCATCTCACTCCAGTTAGAATGGTGATCATTGGAAAAATCAGGAAACAACAGATGCTGGAGAGGATGTGGAGAAATAGGAACACTTTTACACTGTTGGTGAGAGTGTAAATTAGTTCAACCATTGTGGAAGACAGTATGGCAATTCCTCAAGGATCTACAATGAGAAATACCATTTGATCCAGCAATCCCATTACTGGGTATATAACCAAATGATTATAAATTATTCTACTACTTAGACACATGCAAACATATGTTTATTATGGCACTGTGCACAAGAGCAAAAACTTTGAACCAAACCAAATGCCCATCAGTGGTAGAATGAATAAAGAAAATGTGGCATGTATACATCATGGAATACAATGCAGTCATAAAAAGGATGAGTTCATGTCCTTTGCAGGGACATGGATGAAGCTGGAAACCACCATTCTCAGCAAACTAACACAAGAGTAGAAAAGCAAACATCACATGTTCTCTCTCATAGTTGGGAGTTAAACAAAGAGAACACAGGGACACAGGAAGGGGAACACCACACACTGGAGCCTGTCAGGAAGTGGGGGACTATGGGAGGGATAGCATTAGAAGATATATTCCTGGCCTAGGCCACTATTGCGATTTTCTAAATTTTGTTTCAAAAACATGATGTTTCAAAAATTGTTATTGATATGTAATTATACAAATATATAGTTCAGAAAAAAGAATCAACATTAATTATGCTTTTTCCAAAATACTTTATGGTTTTGAGCTCTTCTAGCAGTGACATTTTTGCTGTAGGTAGTTGCTCTATATCTGGTATATTCATCATAGCATCCTTTGTACCCTTTACACTTATCCTTCAATTTCCCACTCTCCTTAAGTGTAAATTTTCAAGGCCAGAGCTCCCATATCTTCCCAATATTACTTTTTGAAAAGAAGCTCCTATGTACTGTTTTGTCTGGGTCTTGTTGGATATAATGCTAAAAGAGCTGGAAAATAATAATTTTTTAAAAAATTCGGTGATGAAATTAAGGTAAATATATTTTATAAATCTAATGAACAAAATGAGGCCAGCTGAGAACACAATGATAGTTGAAGAAGAACCTGAGATCCTGTTTCTCTCAATGGATGTATGAACTTAACTGCAATTGGGTGAGCAAAGCCAGTTGAGTTTGTAGCACCCCTCATGAGAAAAAAGCCAACCATAACCACATTTAGAAGAAAGAAAATTTGGTTACATTTCTGCACTACAGAACAGTGCAGTTAGATAAAATTCTGTCCATTCCATGATTCTCCCTCGGGAAAGAAAACAGAGTGAAACGTGTATGCAAACTTCTGACTTATTGATTTATACCTTTAACATTTAGTGTTGACCAGAATAGAGATAGAGTTTAAATGACAGCTTGGGTCGACTGAGAATAAAGATAAATATTTCTTACAACAAAGAGACTGTAGTGCCTGCAACAGTGACAAAGAGAAGAGACTAAAGGCTCCTAAGAGGAAAGAGAGGTAAACCTTATTAACAAGAAAATACATACAGTACAAAGAAGACACATTTTGACAACAGATTGGAGAAGCTCCCGGAATGACTAGTGTGGCTGAATATTGTCAATTTTCCCATGTACAAAGCTTTTTCATAAAGGATAAAATAGGTAGTGGTTTCTTAATTGACCAAAACCTTAACAAAACCACAGTACTTAAAAGCAACCAGGAAATATAGCCTAATGAAACGAGAAAAATATATATTCAAGTGACCCTAAAGAAGTGGAGATCTATGAATTATTTTTTAACTTAAAATCATTTTATTTTTCTTTATTTTTTCATTTTATACACAGGATCTTACTCTATCTCCTGGGACAGATTGCAGTGGTGCAATCACAGCTCACTGTAACCTCAAATTTCTGAAGTAAAGCAGTCATGCCTCCTATGTCTCCTGAGTAAATATGACCACAGTTGGGCACACTACCACACCTGTATAGTTTCTTTAAAAGAATCTGTACAAACAGAATGTTGTTATGTTGCCTCGGCTGGTCTCAAACTCCTGGTCTCAGGCAATCCTACTGCCTCAGTCTGAAAGTGCTGGCATGAGCCACCATACCTGGAATTGTTTCTCTTTTAAGAAAAAAGGACTTTAAATCATTAATAGTAAAATAAAACAAAGAAAGGCATTGCATAACGATAGAGAGTTCAATTCAACAAGAAGACTTAACTATCCTAAATATAGATGCACCCAACTTTGGGGAACATAGAGTTATACAACAAGTACTGCTAGACCTACAATAAGACTCAAGTAGCCACGCAATAATAGTAGGGAAACGCAACTCCCCAATAACAGTGTTTGTCAGATTATCTAGGCAGAAACTTAACAAAGAAATTCTGGAGTTTGATTTCGCACTTGATCAATTGAAACTAATAGACATTTATAGTATACACCACACATCATCTAAGGAACATAAATTCTTCTCATCGCTCACAGAATATACTCTAGGATTGACCACTTCCTAGCCATAAAGCAATTATCCATACATTTTTTAAAAATGAAAATTATGCCAACCATACTGTCAGGCCACAATGGAAAAAAGATAAATATCAATACCAACAAAATCTCACAAAATCACAGAATGGCATTGAAATTAAACAACTTGCTCCTGAATGAATTTTGGGTAAACAACAAAATTGAGGCAGAAACTTAAAAAAAATTTGAAATAAATGAAGAGACACAATATACTAAAATGTCTGGGTTGTAGGAAAAGCTCTGTTAAGAGGAAAGTTGAGAGTGCTAAATACCTGCATCAAGAAGTTAGAATGATCTCAAACTAACAATTTAACATCACACTTAGAGAAACTAGAAAAACAAAAACAAACTAACCCCAAAGCTGGCAGAATGGCAAAAATATTCACAACCTATAAACCTGACAAAATCTAATACTCAGAATCTATAAGAAACTTAAAGAATTCACAAGCAAAAAATTACCCCATGAAAAAGTGGGCAATAACAGACAATGTTCAAAAGAATACATACAAGTGGCCAAACAACATGAAAAAAGCTTATCACTAACCATCAAGGAAATGTAAATAAAAACCACAGTAAGACACCATCGTACACCAGTTAGAATGGCTTTTGTTAAAAAGTAAAATGATAGTAGATATTGGTGGGGTTTTAGAGGGAAAAAACCACTTATACACTGTTTATAGGAATATAAATTAGTTCAGCCACTGTGGAGAGCAGCTTGGAGATTTTCCAAATAACTGAGAGTTGAACTATGATTCAACGCAGAATTTCACCGCTGGGTGTATACCCAGAAGAGAATAAACTATTCTACCAAAACAGCACATGCACTTGTTGGTTCATCACTGCATTATTTATAACAGGAAAGACATGAATCAACCTACGTGACTATTAATGGTATTTTTTTTTTTTTGAGATGAAGTCTCACTCTGTTGCCCAGGCTGGAGTGCAGTGGCACTATCTCAGCTCACTACAACCTCCACCTCCCAGGTTCAAGCAATTCTCCTGCCTCAGCCACCCGAGTAGCTGGGACTACAGGCTCATGACAACACGTCCGGCTAACTTTTGTATTTTCAGTAGAGACGGGGGTTTCATTATGCTGTCCAGGATGGTCTCGATCTCCTGACCTCATGATCCACTCACCTTGGCCTCCCACAGTGCTGGGATTACAGGCATCAGCCACCGTGTCCAGCCTATTAATGCTAAATTGAATTTAAAAAGTGTCACATGTACAGCAATACTACTTAGCAAAAACAACAACAACAACAAAAAAACTTGTCCTTTGCAGCAACATTAATACAACTAAAGGTCATTCTACAATCAAATTAATGCAGAAATGGAAAACAAAAATACTGATGTTCTCACTTATAAATGGAAATTAACACTGGGTACACATGGACATAAAAATAAAAATAAAAGACAACTCTTAGAGGGTGGAGAGAGGGAGGGATCAAGAACTGAAAAACTGTCTATTTAGTACTATGCTCACTGCATAAGTGATGGAATTACTTATATTTCAAACCTCAGCACTATACAAAATACCCATGTAAAAAACCTGTGTAGGTACCTCCTAAATCTAAAACAAATTTGAAATTCTAAAAGGCGGTCTTACTCTCTCACCCAGACAGGAATACAATATCATGGTTATAACTCAATGCAGCCTCAAATTCCTGGGAACTCAAGGAATAATCTTACATCAGCCTCCAACTTCCGAGACTACAGGAACATTCCACCATTCATGATTAATCTGTAAAAATATTTTTTACATATAGCTTCTCACAATATTGCCCAGGGTGGTCTCAAACTCCTAGCCTTAAGTAATTGATATGGTTTGGCTCTCTGTCCCCAACCAAATCTCACCTTGAATTGTAATAATCTCCACATGTCCTGGGAGGTACTCTGTGGGAGGTAATTGAATCATGGGGGTGGGATTTTCCCATGCTGTTCTCATGATAGCAAAAAAGTCTCACGTGATCTGATGGTTTTATAAGTGGAGATTCCTCTGAACAAAGTCTCTTGCTTGCTCCAATAATTGTGAGACCTCCCCAGCCATGTGAAACTGTGAGGCCATTAACCTTTTTCATTATGAATTATCCAGTCTTGGTTATGTCTTTATTAGCTGCATGAGAATTTATTAATACAGTAATCCCCTTGCCTTAGCTTTCAAAGTAGCTGGAATTAGACACAAATATCAATGTGCCTGGCTAAAACACCTAGCTTAAAGATGCTCATTCAGCTAAAGAAGAACATAGAAAGCTAAACAGAAAAAGAAAACAATTCATGAAGATAATGAGATTATCAATGAAGTGATTAAAAGTATAAAATAGAAACATAAAGTGTGGAGCTGAAAAATAAAATACCTGAATTTAGAGATTCACTAGAAGGTCCAACAACTGGTTTGATCTAGCAGGAAAAAATCCAGCAAGCTTCATAAAAAGTCATTTGAAATTATATGGTGAGGAGGGTAAAAATAATTTTAAAAATTAAGAAAGCCTAAGGGACTTATGGGATACCATTAAGATGGCCAATATACTTCTAATGGGAATTCTAAAATAAAAAGAGAGAAAAGAGAGCAGCAAAGTTATTTCAAGAAACAAACAGTGGCTGAGAACTCTCAAAATTTGAGGGAGAAAATGGCCTAAAATTTAATGAAACTTTACCAACTAGTAGCAACACAGGGAGACCCATGACAAGACACATTTTAATCAGAGATTCAAATGTTAAAACACCGAGAATCTTGAAGTCAGCAAGAAAAAATGACTTAGCATGTACAATGTTACCCCTATAGGATGACCAGCAGATGTCTCAGCCAATAGAATGCAGGCAAGAGGTTGTAGGATGACATACTCAAAGTGCTGAAAAAAATGGCAAATACCAACCAAGAACACTATGTCTGCCAAAGCTATCATTTCAAATGAATTAAAAAATAAAAATAAAGAATATTCAAGATCAACGAAAACTGTATTAATTTATGCACACTAGGCCTGTATTAAAAAATGCTAGTCATTCACATTAAAAAATAAAATAATGATGAGAGCAACATAGAATTATGTAAAATATAAAGTTTTCTAACAGATAATTATGTACAGAATTATAATATTCTTTGTTATTATAATGAAGATGCACAGAATACTTTTAATTCTGCTATGTAGTTGAGATAACAAAGACTTAAAAATGACTATATAACTGTGCCAATAGATTCACAATATAAAATGATGTAATTCGCGACATCAATAAAACACATAGGGAGCCATAAAGAGGCAGGGTTTTATATGCTATAGTAGTTATTTTTGGTAATATCTATAGTAACAACAAAGAAAATACCTATAGTACTTAGGATTTTGAGACTAGTCTGGTCAACATGGCAAAACCCTGTCTCTATGAAAAATAACAAAAATTAGCCAGGAGTAGTGGTGCACATCTGTGGTCCCAGGTACTCAGAAGGCTGTGGTGGGAGGATTGTTTGAGTTGAGCCTGAGAGGCAGAGCTTGCAATAAGCAGAGATTGTGCCACTGCCCTCCAGCCTGGGCGACAGAGCAAGACCCTGTCAAAAAAAAAAAAAAGGAAATACCTATAGTACACACACACAAAGACATACACACAGAGAGAGTAGTGAGAAAAGAAGTAAAACATGTCACTATAAAAATCAATAATACGCTAAGAAAGAGAACAAGAGAGAAAAACAGGAAATAATAGCTACAGGACAGGCCAGGAGCTGTGGCTCATGCCTGTAATCCCAGCAATTTGGGAGGCCGAGGTGGGGGGATCAACGAGGTCAGGAGATTGAGACCATCCTGGCTAACACGGTGAAACCCTGTCTCTACTAAAAAAAATAAATAAATAAAAATAAAAATAGCCGGGCATGGTGGCGGGTGCCTGTATTCCCAGCTGCTGGGGAATCTGAGGCAGGAGAATGGCGTGAATCCGGGAGGTGGAGCTTGCAGTGAGCCAAGATTGCACCACTGCACTCCAGCCTGGGCAACAGAGCAAAACTCCTTCTCAAAAGAAAAAGCTACAGGACCTAAAACAAAAAAGAAACAAAATTCAATAGAAAGTCATAGGAAATCATTCCCTTTTAGTAATGATTTTTTATATATATAAATTATGTCAATCAAAAACATACTTTCACTAAATAAATTCATGAAACAAGATTCAACTCTCTGCTTCCTACAAATGACCACATTATGATCTGGAACACGCATAAGCCATACATGAAAGAATAAAAAAAATTAAATGCAAAATCAAATATTGTCATGGTAGACAAAATATATATTATATCAAAAACTTCCTCAAGAGAGAAGAAGAAAAAGACAATAAAAACAACAACAATAAAAGCAACAAAAAACAACATACATCAATAAAAGCAACAATAAAACAACATACAACAATAAAAGCAACAGTAATGTATGTGCCTTACATCACAGTTCCCAAAATATGAAGCAACATTTT
This sequence comes from Homo sapiens, assembly GCF_000001405.40. NCBI lineage: Eukaryota > Metazoa > Chordata > Mammalia > Primates > Hominidae > Homo > Homo sapiens. The sequence goes on from NC_000021.9 coordinate 6,654,778, forward strand.
ACAGAATTGAAACATGAAGTAGCCAGCACATAACAGTAGATGACTTTTTTATCAGACTTTTAGTAATGTAAATTAAAAAACAAACATAAGATGAATAAGTAAACAGAGGATTTCAACAACACAATAGAACAATTAGACCTAACAGTCATATTTATGTCTCTCCACTCAACAGTAGAATATGCAATACTTTTAATCACACATGCCAAAATATTCCAGATAGACCACCTGTTAAGTTAAAAAACACATCTTAGCAAATTTAAGCAGATGGAATTACACAAATTATTCCTAACTATGATACAATAAAACAAGAAGTTAAAAACACTAGCATGTCAAAGAATAAGTAAAATTAAACAACAAATTCTCAAAAACACTCTTGTTCAAGAGGTTATAGACTTAATATTGTTAAAATGTCACTACAACCAAAAGTGGTCTACGGATTCAATGTTCTTTCTTTTCTTTTCTTTCTATTTATTTTGAGACGGAGTTTTGCTCTTGTTGCCCAAGGTGGAGTGCAATGGTGCGATCTCAGTTCACTGCAGCCTCCACCTCCTGGGTTCAAGCTGTTCTCCTGCCTCAGCCTCCTGAGTAGCTGGGAATACAGGCATGTGCCACCACACCTGGCTAATTTTGTATTTTTAGTAGAGATGGGGTTTCTCCATGGCTGGTCTGGAACTCCTGACCTCAGGTGATCCACCTTCCTCAGCCTCCCAAAGTGCTGGGATTACAGGTATGAGCCACGACCCTCAGCTGATTCAATATACTTTCTATCAAAATACCAATGAAACTTTTTGCAGAAGTTTTAAAATATTCTACAATTTTTATGGAATTTCAAGTTATCACAAACAGCCAAAAAATATTGGGAAAAAAATATAAAGACAGAGGCATCATGCTTTCTATTTTCAAAACATACTACAAAGATATAGTAATAAAAACAGTTTGGTACTGACATAAAGACAAATGAATGATGAAACAGATGAGACAGTCCAGACATAAGTCCTCATGGGTATAGTAAACATATTTTTAAAATGTGTTCCAAGAATCACAAAAAGGAAAGAACAGTCTCTTCAACAAACAGTATTGGGAATAATAAAAATTTACAAGGAAAAAATAACAAAGTTAGACCTTACCTTGCACCAGATAAAAACATAAACTCAAGGCTGGGTGTAGTGGCTCACACCTGTAATCCCTGCACTTTGGGTGACAGAGACAAGTGAATCACAAGGTCAGGATATCAAGACCATCCTGGCCAACATGGGGAAACCACGTCTCTACTAAAAATACAAACAAAAATTAGTTGGCAGTGGTGGCACACGCCTGCAGTTCCACACACTCGGGAGGCTGATGCAGGAGAATCTCTGGAACCCGGGAGGCAAGAGTTTCAGTGAGCTGAGATCATGCCACTGCGCTCCAGCCTGGTGACAGAGAAAGACTCCACCACAAATAAAGAAATAAACTCAAAATAACTAATTTTTGGTAGCTATTAAAATGGAATTTAAAATTTTATCGCTATCATCATACAGAAAGCTACTACTGTGTTAATTTTCTGCAATGTTACAGAATTTGTTTAGTAGTTCTAATAGTTTTTGGTGTAGTGTTTAGAGTTTTTCACATATAAGATTATTTTGTCCACAATGAGAGACCATTTGACTTCATCCTTTCCAATTAGTATAACTTTTATTTCTTCCTCTTGCCTAATTTCCTTGGCTAGGACTTCCAGTACTATGTTGAATAAGAGGGCTGAAAGTTTGGATGATTTGTCTTGTTCCAGATCTCAGAGAGAAAGCTTTCAACTTTTCCTTATTCAGTATAAAGTTAGCATTGCTTTTTCATAAATGGCCTTTACTGTATTAAGGCACATACCTTCTATTCCTAACTTGTTGAGAGTTTTCATCATAATGAAGGCTGAATTTCATCCAATTCTTCTTCTGCATATGCAAAAGCTACAAAAATGAAAATACTTAATGTGATGGCTAATACAGGGTGTCAAATTGATTGGATTGGAGGATAAAAAGCATTGATCCTGGGTGTGTCTGTGAGGGTGTTGCCAAAGGAGATTAACATTTGAGTCAGTGGGCTGGGAAAGGGAGATCCACTCTTAATTGGGTGAGCACCATCTAATGAGCTGACAGTGAATATAAAGCAGGCAGAAAAACGTGAAAAAGAGAGACTGGCCTAAGCTCCCAGACTACATCTTTCTCCTGTGCTGGACACTTGCAGCCCTCAAACATCAGACTCCAAGTTCTTCAGCTTTGGGACATGGACCGCCTCTCCTTGCTCCTCAAACTTGCAGACAACCTATTGTGGGATCTCATGATCTCTCTAGGGAAGCCCAACTAATACACCTAGCAACAAACTTAACTAAAAAGGTAAAAGATCTCTACTCTGAAAACGACAAAACATGGATAAAAAATATAAAATACAAATGAATAAATGAAAAAATATTGTGTTTATACACTGGAAGAATACTCTTGATCTATCTACCCAAAGTGATCTACAGACTTAATGTGATTTTTATCAAAGTACCAATGACATTTTTTCACAGAAATAAAAAAAATTTAAATTTATATGGATCCACAAAAAACTCTGAATAGACAAAGCAACTTTGAGCAAAATAAGCAAAGCTAAAGGCATCACTTCATCAAACTTCAAAACTTGCTATAAAGCTACAGTAACCAAAACAGCACTGTACTGGCATAAAAACAAACTCATAGACTAATGTGCCGAATAAGCCCAGAAGTTAATTTATGCACCTAAAGCCAACTGATTGTCAACAAAATTGCCAAGAACACACTTTAGAGAAAAGCTAATCTCTTTAATAAATGGTGCAGGGCCACTTAAATATTTATATGCAGAAAAATAATACTAGACCCTTGTACCTTGCCATATATGATAATCAACTAAAACTAAAGACTTAAATGTAATGCCATCAATTATGAAACTATTAGAGAAAAACATAAAAAAATGCTTTATAACATTGGATGGGGAAAGGATTATTAAAATAAGATTTCAAAACATGGGCAACAAAATCGAGAATAAGCAAACAACATTATGTCAAACTAAAATGCTTTTCCATATTAAAAAAACAACTAGAAGTTTGAAGAGACAGCTTAGGCAATGACAGAAAATGTTTTCATATACATGTGACAAAAGGCTAATATTCAGAATATATAAGAAACTTTAAAATCTCAAAATAAAATACACTTATAATCTAACTTTAAAAATGCAAAAGATCTTAATAGATGTTTGTCAAAAAGAGATACAAAAATGCTAACTGGAACATAAAAAGATGCTCTACATTACTAATCACCAAGGAAATGCAAATCCAAACCATAATGAAGTACCGCCTCATTCCCATTAGAGTGGCTATAATAAAAATAAATAAATAAATCAAGAACTAATGAGGATATAAAAAAGAGTGGATGTATACCTTGTTGGTGGAATTGTAAATTAGTATGGCCATTATAGAAAATAGTATGGAGGTTTCTGAAAGAAATTAAAAATATATCTATTATATGATCCAGCAATTTTACTTCTGGGTGTATATCCAAAAGAAAGGATATTACTGTGTCAAAAAGATATTTGCATTCCCATGTTCATTACAGAACTATTTATAATAGCTTATATATGGAATCAATTCAAATGTACAGCAACAGATAAATGGATAAGGAAAATGTACTATATATACACAGCGAAATACTATTCAGCCATAAGAAAGCATAAAATTCTGTCAGTTAAAAGAGCATGGATGAACCTTGAGCATACCATGTTAAGTAAAATAAGCCACATAGAGAAACACAAATACTTTATGATCTTATTATCTCACTCATTTGAGGAACCTGAAAAAAAGGGTTGATAGAAGCAAAGAGTACAACAGGGGTTACCAGAGACTGAAGCAGGAGGATGGGAAAAGGTTGCTTCACAGGTATTGTGTTATGATTAGATAGGGGAAATAAGTTTTTGTTTTTTATTACACAGTAGAATAATAATAATTAATGAAAAGTTATCTCATATTACAAAATAGCTAAAAGAGACCAGTTTCGGTGGCACATTCTTGCAATCCATACATTTTGGGAGACTGAGGTAGGAGAATCACTTGACGTCAGAAGTTCAAGATGAGCCTGGACAACATAGTGTGACCCTGTCTCTATGAAAAATTAAAACATTAGCCAGGCATGGTGGCAGCTTCCTGTAGTCTCAGCTAATTGGGAAACTAAGGTTAGAAGACTGTTTGAAGTTACAGTGAGCTAAGATTGCACCACTGCACACCAGTCTGGGTGTTAGAGCAAGATCCTGTCTCTAAAAAAATTTAATACTTAAAGATAAAATAAAATAGCTAGAGAAGAAGCTTTTGAATATTCTCACCACAAAAATAACAAATGCATGAGGCAACAAGTATAGAAGTACTCTGATTTTTATTGTTATACAACATATATATATAATTGTTTCCCCAAAATATGCACAATTACATGTGTCAATTTTAAAAAATGAATGAAGACTATAATGTAAAACCTATAGCTGTAAAATTCCTAGCACAATACAGAAGGGTGAAGCTTCATGACAACTGGTCGTGGCAATAATTTGGGGGACGTAACATCAACGGATGAGACAACAAAAGCAAGGGAATACACATGGTACTGAATCAGTGTATGAAAAATATCCCAAACAGACAAAGCAGAACATGGAATAGATATATGCACATTGTAGTATTAGTCACAAACATGTTACCTGGAAGCAAATGTACCCTTAAGGATGAGTAGATTCAGCAAACAGGGCACGTACAATCACTGGGATAGCATTCAGCCTTAAAAATAAGGAAATCTTGAAAAGTACTACAATAAGGACAAATATTCAAAACATTCTGTTAAGTAAAATAAGACAGTCAAAAAGGAAAGCTGTATAATTACACTCATGTAAAATATTTAGTCAAACTCAAAGAAACCAAGTGTCATAGTCTCAGCAGTGCACCAAGATGTAACAGTCTCTCGTAGTCTGAGATAACATCCAGAGTTCTTTGTTCTACCTCTAAGGAGATTAAGGAGTGTAAACACAAAGGTGAGGTTGGAGTGAAAGTTTAAGAAGCAAGAGAAGAAAGCTCTTTGCCAGCAGAGATAGGTGTCTGAAAGTGGTGCCCTCTACGAGGCTGGGTCCAGGGTTTTTATGGACTGGGAAGGGAAGGATATGTGCCTAGTTCACAGGCTGTCTTGAAAAACGTGTGGCTCAGCTTGGCCCAGGCCTTTGGCCCAGGACCAATCAGGAGCTGAAGGGATGATTGATAGATGCTGCTTAGCTTGGCCCAAGACTTACCAGAAGCTAAGGTGAAAGTTTGGCCAAGGAGCTTGGCACGGGAGCAATCAGGGGCTGAAGTAATTATTCATAGAGGTCAGACTTACAGTCCAAATAAAGGAGAATGTCTACCGGAATGTACCAGATTCCACAGTGTCCATGCCAACAAAAAGAGAAGGAACATTTTCCTGGGAGCCCACTGACTGTACAAAGACAAAGGTGTTTCTTTTTTTTTTCTTTTTCTTGTCTTTCTTTCTTTTTTTTGAGATGTACTTTCTTTTTTTATTTTATTTTATTTTTTTTGCAGTTTTGCTCTTGTTGCCCAGCCTGGAGTGCAATGGTGCGATCTCGGCTCACAGCAACCTCCACCTCCTGGGTTCTAGCGATTCTCCTGCCTCAGCCTCCCAAGTAGCTGGGATTATAGGCATGCAGCACCATGCCTGGCTAGTTTTGTATTTTTAGTAAAGACAGGGTTTGTCCATCTTGGTCATGCTGGTCTCAAACTCCCGACCTCAGATGATCCGCCCACAGCTGCCTCCGACATTGTTGGAATTACAGGCATGATCCACCGTGGCTGGCCAAACAAAGGCATTTCTGTGCTAGGTCGTTCTTGTTCCTTTATCTGAGTGAGCTGGAGGTTTGTACAAGTTTTTATCCAAATGGGCCAGAGGTTTTTCTATCTCTGCAGCCACGGGCATGTCTCCAAGCACAACAACATATGTTAGTTCCCTTGTTAGTGTCTGCAGCTTGATTTTTTCCAGGCTTCTTTACATGTTATGCAGGGATGAGGCACTGACCAGGGACTTTCCAGGGACTCTTCTCTTGCTATCTACCTAAGGTAAGCTAACTAACTTCTTTCACAAGTAATGAGTATTCACTTTTACTTTTGTAAGACAAAAATTATCTAAAAGCTACTGCAAAACAATAGAACTATACTAACCACTTCTAAACCATATACTTAAAATTTCAGAAATGACAATGGCATGTTTTTAACTACAATTAGAAATTTAAGACTAACTAAAAGGCACAGTTAGAAAACCTTTCAAACATCACCTTCAAATAACAAAGGGTTATTCTCACACAATTATATGGATTTAAACTATATGTTGATTGTAAATTTAAGATTATTTCCCTGATGACTCACCAAGATAGAATAAAATAATCACTGGAAACCAAGAAAAGAGGGAAATTTATAGCACTAATGTCCACATCAAAAAGCTAGAAAGGGCTGGGCGTGGTGGCTCATGCCTGTAATTCCAGCACTTTGGGAGGCTGGGGTAGGCAAATCACTTAAGGCCAGATGTTCAAGACCAGCCTGGAACACACAGCAAAACCCCACCTCTACAAAAAAAAATTCAAAAATTAGCTGGTTTTTGTGATGCACATCTGTAATCCCAGCTACTCAGGAAGCTGAGACAGCAGAAATCACTTAAAACTGAGAAGTGGAGGTTGCAGTGAGCAGAGATCATGCCACTGTACTCCAGCCTGGGTGACAGAGTGAGACTCTGCCACAAGAAAAAAAAGAGAAACTAGAAAGATCTAAAGTTAACAGCCTAACATCTTGATTAAAAGAACTAGAAAACCAAGTGAAAACTAACCAGAAAGGTAGCAGAAAACAAGAAATAACCAAGATCAAAGTAGAGCTGAAGGAGATAGAGACACTGAAAACTCTTCCAAAAAAAAAAAGTCAACAAATCCAGGAGCTGTTTTATGAAAAAAATTAATAAACTAGATGGAACACTAGCTAGGCAAATAAATAAGAAAAGAAAGGAGAACCAAACACAATTAGAAATAATAAGGGAGATATCATCACTGGTCCCATGGAAATAAGAACAACCATCAGAGAACACTATAAACATCTGTATGCACATAAACCAGAAAATCTAGAATAGACAATTTCCTTGCAAAATAAACCCTCCACAAGACTGAACCCTGAATAGATCAATAATGTGTTCTGAAACTGAGGCAGTAATAACTAGCCTACCAAGCAAGCTGAATTTGACCAGAGGTACAAAGAGGAGATGGTACCTTTTCTCCTAAAACCATCCAAAAAAAATTGAAGACAAAGTTCTCTGTAACTCATTCTATCAGGCCAGCATCATCCAGATACCAAAACCTAACATAGATACTACAACAACAACAACAACAACAACAACACATCATGCCAATGTCTTTGGTAAACACTGTGCAAAAATCCTCAATAAAATACTGGCAAACCAAATCCAGCAGCATATTAAAAAGTTCATCTGCAACAATGGAGTTGGCTTTGTCCCCAGGATGCAAGGTTGATTCAACAAATGCAAATCAATAAATGTGACTCATCACATAAAGAGAACTAAATAAAAAGCCACATGATTATCTCAATAAATGCAGAAAAAGCATCCAATAAAATTCAGCATTCCTTCAGGTTTAAAATTCTCAATAAACTAGGAAGTGAAGAAACATACCTGAAAATAATAAGAGCCATATACAACAAACCCACAACCAATATCATACTGAATGTGCAAAAGCTAGAAACGTTCCACCTGAAAACTGGCACAAGAAAAGAATGCCCTCTTTCACCACTACCATTCAATATAGTATCAGAAGCCTTGGCCAGGAAAATCAGGCCAGAGGAAGAAATAAAGAGTATTCTAATAGAAAGAGAGGAAGTCAAATTATCTTTGTTTGCAGATGACCTGATCCTACATCTAGAAAACCTCATTGTCTCAGGCCCAAAGCTTCTTAAGGTGATAAGCAACAGTAGCAAAATCTCAGGATATAAAATCAATGTGCAAAAGTAGCTAGCATTCCCATGCACAAACAACAGGCAAGCAGGGAGACAAATCATGAATGAACTTTCATTCACATTTGCTACAAAGAGAAAAAAATACCTAGGAATACAGCTAAGAAAGAAAGTGAAGGACCTCTTCAAGGAGAACCACAAACAACTGCTCAGAGAAATCAGAGTGGACACAAAACAGATGGAGAAATATTCCATGCTCATGGAGAGGAAGAATCAGTATCATGAATATGGGCATATGGCCCTAAGTAATTCATAGATTCAATGCTATTCCCATTGAACTACTGACATTCTTCAGAGAATTAGAAAAATAAAAACTTTTAAAGTTCATATGGAACCAAAAAAGAGCCCAAATAGCCAAGCCAACCTTAAGAAAAAAAAAAAAAAAGCTGGAAGTGTCACTCTACCTAACTTCAAACTATACTAGAAGAGTACAGTAACAAAAACAGCATGGTACTGGTATAGAAACAGACACATAGACAAATGAAACAAAGTAGAGAACCTAGAAATAAAGCCAAAAACCTACAACAACCTGATCTTTGACAAAGTTAACAAAAACAAGGAATTAGGGAAAGGTGTCCCTATTCAAAAAATGGTGCTAGGAGAACTGGCTAGCCATATGCAGAGAATTTAAACTGGAACCCTTCTTAACACCATGTACAAAAATTAACTCAAGATGGATTAAAGACTTAAATGTACAACCCAAAACTATAAAACCCTTAGAAGAAAAAATCTAGATAATACCATTCAGGATATAGGCATGAGAAAAGACTTTATGACAGAAAGGCAAAAAGCTATAGCAACAAAAGCAAAAATTGACTAATGGGGTCTAATTAAACTAAAGAGCTTCTGCGGAGCCAAAGAAACTATCATCAGAGCAGACAACCTAGAGAATGGGAGAAAAATTATGCAACCTATCCATCTCACAAATGTCTAATATCCAGAATCTAGGAGGAATTTAACAAAATTTACAAGAGAAAAAAAAAAGGCCCCATTAAAAAAGGGTCAAAGAACATGAACAGACATATCTCAAAAGAGGACATACATGTGCCCAACAAACATGAAAAGCTCAACATCACTGATAACTGCATAAATACAAATCAAAACCATAATGAGATACCATCTCACACAAATTATAATGGCTATTAATAAAAAGTAAAAAAAAAAAAAACAGATGCTGGCGAGGTTGTGGAGAAAAGGGAACACTTTTACACTGTTGGTGGGAGTGTAAATTATTTCAAGCATTGAGGAAGAGAGTGTGGAGATTCCTCAAAGACCTAGAAGCAGAACTACCATTTGACCCAGCAATACCATTACACCCAAAGGAATATAAATAATTCTATTTTAAAAATACATGTATACAAATGTTCATTGCAGCACTATTTACAATAGCAACATCATGTAATCAATCTACATGCCCATCAATGATACACTGGATAAAGGAAATGTGGTACACATACACCATGGAACACTATGAAGCCATAAAATGTAATGAGATGATGTCCCTTGCAGGGACATGGTTGGAATTTGAAGCCATTACTCCCAGCAAACTAATGCAGGAACAGAAAACCAAACACCGCCTATTATTATTCTAACTTATTAGCAGAAGCAGATCAATGAGAACACATGGACACATCAGGAAGAACAACACACACTGGACACCTGTTTCATGGCATGGGGGAGGGGAAGGAGAGCATCAGGAAGAATAGCTGCGGATGCTGGGCTTGGTACCTGGGTGATGAGATGATCTGTGCAGTAAACCACAGTGGTACGCATTTATGTATGTAAGAGACCTGCATACTCTGCACATGGACCCCTAAACTTAAAATAAAAGTTGAAAAATAAACTTTATCACATATGGACCCCTGAACTTAAAATAAAACTTGAAAAAAAAATGTGTTTCTGGTGGATTCTCTATGTTAGACCCAAACTGAGGATCTTGAAGCTCTCGCTGGGGGAATCGGGGATGGGGGCACACTGGGGAGCCGCTGCCAAGGCCAACCACCCTCCCTACAAGCCACCTCCCTTCCCGGCCAGTATGGAAAGGAGAAGGGGTATGTGAACAGCTGTGGAGGTCAGAATCTCGGGAACTGAATCAGGCCCCAGCCCATGCCCCCCAGCCCAGCCCTCAGGATTGTTAGATGGAACAAGGCTCCATCATCACCCAGGCATGGAGGGAAGATGCCCTGGTCCTTACCAAGCAAGGCCTGGTTTCCAAAGTCCTCTCCGAAGAGGCCTCATGTTTGCCACATCTTAAAAGTCCCCTTTCTGCTGTTCTTGCACCCAGCATGTTGGACAGTCAAGTTCCCCCGCTGAGCAATCCACACATAAGGAGGGAGTCAACACCATTGCTATGTCGGATCAGCTCCAGCGTCTCCAATATCAGTTTTATCAGATCCCAGGAACCTGCCTGCTCCCAGAGGTGACAGAGAAAAATCAAGGAAGGATCTGTATGGTCACTGACCTGGATGAAACCCTTGTGCATAGCTCCTTTAAGCCAATCAGCAATGCTGACTGCCTAGTGCCTGTAGAGCTTGAGGGGACCATGCACCAGATCCATGTGCTCATGAGGCCTTATATGGATGAGTTCCTGACATGAATGGAGGAAATGTTTAAATGTGTTTTCGTCATTGCTCTCTTCTTCCCAGCCTGAACAAGTAGGCAGATCCTGTGACGGGTGAGCTGGACGGGTATGGGATGGTCTGGGGCTGCCTGTCCCATGAGTCATGTTTGTTTCACCAGGGCTGCTATGTCAAGGACGTCAGCCATCTGGGGAGGGACCTGAGGAAAACTCATCCTGGACAACTCGCCTGCTTCTTACATCTTCCACACAGAGAATGCAGTGCCTGTGCAGTCCTGGTTTGATAACATTCCAGACAGCAGCTGCTGCACCTGATATCATTATTTGAGGAGATGAGTGGAGGAGCAGAGGGTGTCTACACTAGCCTTGGGCAGCAGTGGGCCCTTAACCTTCCCTGCTTCCCAGCAATGGCCATCACAGTAGGGGATTTTCCCACACTGTGCCTTTATGAACAGCCTGAAAGAGTGAAGGCTGGAACACCTACCCACATGGGCCTGGAAACAGTGAGAAGTGATTGAAAAGAGCTTTAGGACAGCTTAGATGCCCAGTGGGTGAATGCCAGACCAAGGATACCCAGAGCTACCTGCCATCAAGTTGTTGGGTTCCCGAGATGGGGGTGTGAGAGAAAGAAAGACAGCATGTGTGTTTTGCTATGAACTGTGGCCCCAAGTATATAGTGTTTCAGTAGAGGAGAAGCTGAAGGACAAAGACTCTTCCCAAGCTAGCTTGTCTCCTCTCCTGTCACCCTATGAGCCCCTGAGATCCATAGGGATGAAGAGTATTGAAGGCTCCGTTGCAAACCTGGTCTTTCTTCAGTGCTGCAAGGCCTATGCCAAGGAGAAAGGAAAGGTATGCCTTTGGGTGTTCCAGGCACACATCTTTCTGAAATATTTCTCCAGCCAGTTGTTGCAGACAAAAGACGACATTTCTGGGAAGATGGGGACTTATGTCCAGACGAGTACCCAAACTATCAGGTCTTCTGGCCCAAAGGCTATTTTTACTTACCTCTAGCCAAGTGCCTGGGATGGATCCTTTCTGCGTCTCACCAAGGCTCACCACTTAGCCATAGCCTCAAACCCGTGGGGAAGGAAGGTCTCCCCGCCCTGCAAGAGGACAAATAACTGATTTTTGTTCATTTGACTCTGTTTTAAAATTCTCTTTAAAAAAAAAAAAAACAAAAAAAAGAAAAAGAAAGCATATCTGAAACTTAAAAAAAAAAACAAGGAAAAAAGATGAAAAAAATGACATACTTACATAGGTGAAAAACACATAGATATATCTATAAGCAACAAACACAGCTAATTCAAATATAAATTAAATATCACATTGTCATAATGTGTACCGAGTTAAAAAATTATCATTCAACTCATGATATCAAGCTTTAAAAGCAAAAATACAATTAACTGCTCTGAGAAAACATACCCCCCCAGAAAAGAAACACAACAACACAGAACTGAAAATAAGAAGAGAGATTTTAATGCATAAAATCCTGAATACAACATAAATATACAATGAAAAATAAGCCCTTTTTGTTTTTTTTTGAGACAGTCTCACCCTGTCGCCCAGGCTGGAGTGCAGTGGTGCCATCTCGGCTCACTGCAAGCTCCGCCTACTGGGTTCACGCCATTCTCCTGCCTCAGCCTCTCGAGTAGCTGGGAATACAGGCACCCGCCACTATGCCCGGCTAATTTTTTCTATATTTAGTAGAGACTGGGTTTCACCGTGTTAGCCAGGATGGTCTTGATCTCCTGACCTCGTGATCCACCCACCTTGGCCTCCCAAAGTGCTGGGATTACAGGCATGAGCCACCGTGCCGGGCTGAAAAATAACCCTTTAGATATCTACAGCTTTAAACTGTGTGCAGTCATGAAAAGCAGACATTAGAAGTCATTGGCATTTAATAAATTGCAGTAAAATTATACAGTAAATACATTACAATCATTAATAATAGGCTTTAATGAGAAGAATTTAATAAATAATCATTAAAAAGACAGCAGAATTTTATTCTGTTCTCAATATGTTGCTGCTCTTCTTATCAAATACTATAATAAAACTATATGACTATAATATAGATTTCAGGAGCTAAAAAAAGCCTTATATTTTCAAATAAAAGAACAATATAAATTTTGCAAAATACAATGAGCATTACTGAAGTATAAAGTAAATATTTGGAATTAAAATATATGGTCATTTAGATACAGACTAAAAAAGAATAGAAATCTTAATGATTCCTTTCTGCCTACAGTGAGCTTAAAATTACAACCAAAAATTTTAATAAATATGTAGCACCTACAAGAAATTTTATTAACAGCTTACATAATGTGTAAATTTGAGCAATTTATTTTAGAACTTTTGAATCTGAAAATCACCTGCTTGACATTCATTTGAGAAAGTGAAACATAAAGGAGAGTAACATAAGCAAGACGACAGAATGGGAGGTTCTGCATCCACATCCCCCACGACATAATGCAGCTGCCACAGCAAACATAAGTGCATTCATGAAAGCCTTGGAATCCAGTTCAGAGTTTGTGACACCCAGCTGGAGGCAAAGACCAAGGAAGACATCTTTAGAGGGTAAGCACTTGACCAAGTGGCAAGCTTGCCAATCATGGTCCTCGCTTCAAAACAGAATACTGCCACATCTTACTGTAGACTTGGCTATAACTCATTTGACCTTGGTCCTGACACTGCAACAGTCTGTGGAAAACACAAGAGAATTCATACTCACCTGAGACTTAGATGACAGGCCTGCAGAACTTGGTTCTCTCTATAGTCCCTGAATCAGGCAAAACACACCTTCTTTCCTTCTCCAGCCATGGTCTGGAAGAAATCTTCACATTGATATGATGAAATGCTAACTAACAATATGAAAAATACTAAAGTATAAATGTCACTAAAATGGTAAATACATACTGAATTTCAGAATACTATAAATTGTTATCATCTTAAACTAGACTATTAAAATACAAGATGTTTTACATAAGTCTCATGATAACCAGTAGGAAAAAAAAATAGTAAAGAAAAAGAGAAAGTAATTAAAGCATACACAAACAACAAAAATTACACATTGGATATGGTGTCTCCTGCTTATAATTCCAACACTTTGGGAGGCCAAGGTGGAAGAATCAAATCTCCTTGGGTGTTGTGGTACATGTCTGCAGTCCAAGCTACTTGGGTGGCTAAGGTGGGACGATTATTTGAGCCCAGGAGGTTAAGGCTACAGTGAGCTGTGATATGCCACTGCACTTCAGTCTGAGCAAGAAAGCATAACTTTGTCTCAACAAAAATGAACAATACCACAGGAAAGACAGAACCAGAAAAAAAAGAAGCAAACTTAAAATGGACAGAAAACTACAAATGTACAATAGTAACTGCTTACCTATCACTACCTTACAAATAAAAAGATTAAAGTATCTACTAAACAGATACTGCTGTACACTGAATGTCATCTCCAAAATTTAGGATAAAATTTAATAGCCAACATGTTAGAATTAACAGGTGGAACCTTTAAAAATTAATTAAGCTATAAGCACTCTGCCCTCATGAATGGATTAACGTTCTTATTATGGGAATGGGCTAATTATAACAAGAATGGATCTGTTATATATTTAAAAAAAAAAGCTCTCTCTCCCTCACATCTTTGTGTATGTTATTATCCAGCAACTAGACCTTCAACATATACCAGTATAATGTTGTTTTGGCTTCCCAGCCTCCAGAATCATGAGTCAAATAAAATTCTATTCTTTATTAATTACCAGTGTGTGATATTCTGTTATAGCAGCCAAAAGAGACTAAAGCAGACAGAGTGGATAAATTAATCTTTTAAACCTCATAATATGCTGCTTACAAGAGACTCAATTATGAATTAAGAGCATAGGCTAAAAGTGAAAGGATAGAAAATGATATTCCATGCAAATAATAACCAAAGGAGTGAAATGGTAATGCTTAAATTAGACAAAATAGACTTTCTAGCAATGTCTCTCACAAGAATGAAATGAGTTTACCATACAATAATAGAGGTTAATTTCTCAAGAGAATATAGCTTTATATATTTATGCACCCAAAAGGGAGGCTTCTAAATATAAAAAGCAAATATTGCCAGAACTGTAGGGAGAAGTAGAAAGAAACCCAATAATAGAAAACTTTAACGAAATGTATAATAAAGGACATATAGTTAACAGCATTGTAAATTGGCAAGGGAAAGCTGGTCTCATGTGTTGCGTTTGAGAATGCAGCAAAGAAAGTGGGAACTGATAATTTTACTGCAAGCCTGAGTTAGGATGAAAAACAGGGTGGTCGATTAGAGGTTCCACTTGCCATACATTAAAAAAACACAGGAGAAAACCAGTCCTCCTCTGGAGTGTTAAAATAATTAAAGATCAGAAAATTAGTCTAAAGTGGCTCTAGTGCCCTGTGTTCATAGGTAAAAAACAAAAAACAAACAAAAAAAAATCTAAAACCTAACTCAAATATATTTCCTATAAAACACTATCTTAGCCTGAAGCAAAATGCAGGTTTAACCCATGACAAACATGCAATTAACCTCTGAATATGTAACCAGGACATTTCCATCTGGATAGTTCAAATAAGGCTACCATATAACTGGAACCAATTCTTGAATTTGGGTTGCTTTCTCATGCATCTTATGAAAGCCTTTCCTTTATGCCCCTCTGGTGGACCAGAAATCATGGCTGGGTGCTTTCCATTTCACCAATCACTCTTTGTTCAGATAAACTGATGAACCTTTTAACATAGACTCCCGTTAATTTTTAACACGAGAGACTGTGGACCCCACGGGCCGCAGCTCCTCCCACGCAAACACCCACTCGCGGTTTTTCCCTGATGACCCATCTGGCCTCCCTGAACAATTTGGGAAATACTCATGGCTGTGGGCGCAGAGCAGGGCGCTGCCCAGGGACAGGACCGGATGGGCCGGACGGGACGTGGGGGTCCTCGCTGCTGGCCCAGCGGCCATCTTGCAGCCACAGGGGACTGAGGGCCAAGCTGCGGGAGACTCGGAGCTAACCGTGGGGAGGCCGGTCCTGCCGGTTTCACAGTCTGTTCTCCCCTCTCGGGATGGCGAACCCCGTATACTCACCATTTCCCAGCTTCCAGGATGTCCTGGCACCTTAACTATGCGTCCCCAAGGACCTACAGATCGCAGGGCAACAGGGGCTGTGACAGAGTAGCCCAGGGCTCTCAAGGTGCAGGAGGCGAAAGAGGAGACAGATCCCAAGCTCCTGTGCCAGCACCAGCGAGAGACACAGATCCCGCCAAATGCAGGAAGCCACGCCCTCCTTTCCTCTCCTCTGCCACCGCGCGCCTGATTGGGCGGTTCCCACATCAGTGTCAATGACTGGATAAAACTCCAGGACGCACCCACCCTCGCCTGACTCCTGCCCTTACCCCCACTCCCCCTCAGACTTAGTGCACTTTTGTTAGTTTGTTTTTAAGTTCTGGAATACATGTGCAGAACGTGCAGGTTTGTTACATAGTTTTACATGTGCCATGGTGGTTTGCTGCACCTATCAACCTGCCATCTAGGTTTTAAGCCCCATATGCATTAGGTATTTGTCCTAATTTTCTCCCTCCCCTTGACCTCAACCCCTTAACAGGCCTTAGTGTGTGATCTTTGGCTCCAGGTGTCCATGTGTTCTCATTTTTCAACTCCCACATATGAGTGAGAACATATGGTGTTTGCTTTCCTGTTCCCGTGTTAGTTTGCTGAGGTTAATGGTTCCCAGCTTCATCCACGTCCCTGCAAAGGACATGAACTCATTCTTTTTATGGCTGCATATTATTTCATGGTGTATATGTGCCACATTTTCTTTTTCCAATCTATCAATGATGGGCATTAGGGTTGGTTCCAAGTCTTTGCTATTGCAAACAGTGGTGCAATAGACATATGAGTGCATGTGTCTTTATGCTAGAATGATTTATATTCCTTTGGGTATATACCCAGTAATGAGATTGCTGGATCAAATGGTATTTCTGGTTCTAGATCCTTGAGGAATCACCACACTGTCTTCCATAATGGTTGAACTAATTTACACTCCCTCCAGCAGTGTAAAAGTGTTTCTATTCCTCCACAGCCTCACCAGCATCTGTTGTTTCCTAACTTTTTAATAACTGCCATTCAACATGGTGTGAGAAGGTATCCCATTGTGGTTTTGATTTGCATTTCTCTAGTCTCCAGTGATGATGAGCTTTTCTCTTTTTTGTGTTTGTTGACCACATAAAGGTCCCCTTCTTCTTCTTCTTCTTCTTCTTCTTCTTCTTCTTCTTCTTCTTCTTCTTCTTCTTCTTCTTCTTTTCTTCTTCTTCTTCTTCTTCTTCTTCTTCTTCTCCTTCTCCTTCTTCTTTTTCTATTTATTTTACTTATTATTATTATTTTTAAGATGGAGTCTTGCTCTGTCACCCAGGCTGGAGTGCAGTGGAAGGATCTCGGCTCACTGCAACATCTGCCACCCAGGTTCAAGTGATTCTCCTGCCTTAGCCTCCCCAGAAGCTGGGATTACAGGTCACCCGCCAACACATCCTACTAATTTTTTGTGTTTTTAGTAGAAATGCGGTGTCGCCATGCGGCCCAGGCTGGTCTTGAACACCTGACCTCATGATCCACCTGCCTCCACGGCTGAAAGTGCTGGGATTACAGACTTGATCAACCGCGCCCAGCCAAATATCTTCTTTTGAAAAGAGTCTGTTTATATTCTGTGCCCACTTTTTGATGGTTTTTTTTTGTGTGTGTGTGAATTTGTTTAAGTTCTTTGTAGATTCTGGATATTAGACCTCTGACACATGGATAGAGTGCAAAAATTTTCTTTCACTCTGTAGGTTGCCTGGTCACTCTGGTGATAGCTTCTTTTGCTGTGCAGAAGCTCGTTAGTTTAGTTAGATCTCATTTGTCAATTTTAGCTTTTGTTGTGATTGCTTTTGGTATTTTATTCATGAAGTCTTTGCTCATGCCTATGTCCTGAATGGTATTGCCTAGGTTTTCTTCTAGGGTTTTTATGGTTTGGTGTTTTACATTTAAGACTTTAATCCATCTTAAGATAATGTTTGCATAAGGTGTAAGGAAGGGGTACAATTTCTGTTTTCTGAATGTGGCTAGCCAGTTCTTTCAGCACCATTTGGTAAGTAGGAAATCTTTCCCCATTGCTTGTTTTTGTCAGGTTTGTCGGAGATCAGATGGTTGTAGATGTGTGATGTTATTTCTGAGGCCTCTGTTCTGTTCCATTTGTCTATATATCTGTTTTGGTATCAGTACTGTGCTGTTTTGGTTACTGTAGCCTTGTAGTATAGTTTGAAGTCGGGTAGCAGGATGCCTCAAGCTTTGTTGTTTTTGCTTAGGATTGTTTTGGGTTGACAGGCAAACAGGCTCCTATATTTGGGGTCACGTGCCCAGAGTATCACAGCTAATTCAGACGTGAGCTGAGACTTGAAATGCACGTGCTCTTTCCCTTACCTGGGTCTGTTGTATAATGCATCTTAGCAGCTATGTAACAGTACGAATTAGAATATTTAGACATCTTTTTAGCAACTTTTTAACCTGCATTTTTGTAACGCGGTAAAGACCTTCATCCCATCCCTGAGCCCCTCTCTCACAACACTGCACCCCACTGCTGACCACACTGTTGTGTGACCATTAGGAATCAGGGGGGCAGCGGGGGCTGGAAATAAATAAGAAAGGATTATGTTTCCCAAATTTGCTCACCTTAGAAAGTCTCCTCAACCATTCTGTGTGAGGTGATTTTTCCAAGGTAATTGTGCCCTGACTGCGCTGGATGTCAGTGTGTCTTGTCTTTTTGAAAATCACTGGATTACTCTCATGAACGGGGTATTTCTCTTTCTATTTGAAAATGGTCAACTGTCCTCTGCAGGTGTCCTGACTTGCTAGTTTAGACCCTGAAGGTAGCGGTGAGAAAATATTTGGGCCACATCAGAATACCTATTCTCAGCTGGAGGATATATAGAAATTTCTTAATAATATCTAACCATTTTCTCAATAACCATTATATTTAACATTGATAGCTTGGAGGGCAGGGAAGGACACAGATGACACAATCTTCAAAGTTTAATTTAGTTATAAGGTTTTTTTTTTGTTCTTGCTTAGTTTTGCTTAGTTTTTGGATACAAGGTCTTGCTCTGGTGCCCAGGCTGGAGGGCAGTGGCATAATGATAACTCATAATTTGGTTGTAACGGTTCTTTAAAATATATTTTTGCTGAGAGTGCTAGCTCATACCTGTAATCTAAACACTTTGGGTGGCCAAGGTGGGATGATCGCTTGATCCCAGGAGTTCAAGACGAGTCTGAGCAACATAAGTAGGCTCAGTCTCTAGAAAAATATTTAAAAATTGTCTGGGTGTAGCTTTGCATGCCTGTAGTCCCAGCTACTTGAGAGGCTGATTTGAAAGCATCACTGGAGCCTAAGAATTTGAAGATGCAGTGACCCATGATTCAGCCACTGCATTGACAGAGTGAGATATGTGTGTGTCTGTCTGTGTGTGTGTATAAAGAATTTGTATGTGAAAAAAATTCAAGCACAGGAGAAAAGTGAAAGCCCATGGTGGGGGATGTGGAGAAAGGTCACTGTGGCTCCAGCAACTCAGTGAGACTTGGTTTTCCATCTTGAAGAATTGCCCATCCACACTGACACCATAGCCTAACATATGCCAGTTCTCACACTACACCTGCTGGGATACCAGTATGTAGCCTTTTGAAAAAAATAAAATCTTTCACCTAAGAGAAGGACAAGAGAAAACGAGGGTTTCACATCTAAAGCCTTCATTTTCTTTATGAATCAACAGCCACTTGTCATTTCAATTGTCCAGAGGCGACTGACAGCACTAATACACTTAATGAATCAACCAGGAAAAATGGGCCTCTCAGGTGAGGAGGAGGCACAATCGTCACAAAACCCAATCCGTTCTCAGCTTTGCATGGTGCTCGCATCTCAAGAAGTGGTGTTAGCCATGTGAACCGTGTTCACTGGACAAGGCCAGAGGAAAGAATATGTAGTACAACACAACTATGGGGCTGCAAATCAAACTGGTAGTGAGAGCATGCATGAGGCTTCAGTGGCCGAGACACTGGTGGCTACCCTTCGGTGTCACTTAAATCTTTGAGGTGAAGGACATCTTTTTCCCAACTGGCTCAGAGAAACTAATCAACATTAAAATTGAGATTTGTTTTTCTTTTCAAAATTTCTAAGACATAGAGGACTCTCTAACACTCCAAAAGACATTCAGCTATACATGCAGCTGAGGACCTGCCTGCTCTGTAGAGGGATGGCAGAGCAGCAGCCACCAGCTTTAGTAGCTTTAAGCTCCTCTTCTCATAGGAACAGGCCACCCCCACACAACCCCCCTAACTTCATAGGCTCTGGCTGTCAGGTGCACCTGGGGGACTGTCTTCCTCCCATCTCATTAGCTCTCGAAGACAGTTCAGCTCAATGTAAAACCTACCTTAGGATGGTGAGTTGTAGGCTCTCCTCTATTCTCCCAGCGCAGTGTGACTTCTGGAGAGTGCTTCTCCATCCTCTTACCTCAGATGATGTGAAAAGAGCCGGTTCCCGGGCAGTTAGATGTTCAGTGACATAACAGGCCCAGCATGCGCAGGGCCTGGCCCCACAACCTGGCACCTCTCCCTTACCTGGCCTTCAGGCTGGACTTTTCTCTTCTGCCACAAATGTCAGGTGATGATCACCTCTGCCACACTCTCATGAGCTTGGTAAGTATCAGGGGTGTAAACCCCAACAGATTTCCTGTGACTCTACCCTCTTACCACCCACTCAAGTGACATTATAAGCATAATTTTACATTTGATATTATTTATGCGTAATTTTTTTTATAACATTTCTGACAACAGCCCACACAACGAAATGAGTCTGGGTTACAGAACACACGGGCGAGGCTGGGGTAGCAGGCTTCAATTACTTTATTCCAATGTGAAATGAAGATTGATGATTTAAAAACAAGACAAAGTTGTTTATCAGCTGTGGGGTGGCTACACTTGCTAGCTCATGCTCACTTTCTTTGAAACAAGGTATCTGTACAGACCATACTCATAAGTAGCTCTTCACAAAACCCCAGACAGAAGTCCCAGTCAGACACAGCTCCCTCAGGCTCACAGGGCAGCAACCTCCTCCTCCATGTTAGGCTCTGACAGCAGGCAAGGGAAGAAGCACAGGCAGCAGGGGACAGGGAGATGTCCCGGACTGTAGGGATCCCCAAATGCCCCAGAGCTATTATCTGTAGAAGGGTGCACGCAGGTCTCACTCTGACAGTGCAGTGGCTGAATCATGGGTCACTGCAGCCTCAAACTCTTAGCCTCCAGTGATGCTTTCACCTCAGCCTCTCAAGTAGCTGTATGGCAAAAAGCCTCCTATTTTTTTACTTAAAACCTGGACTTCAAGCCAGGTTGGACCTGGGGATAGTGGCAGCAAAAGCAGCAGCCAAATGTATACACTCCAGATGTCTACACTCATGGGCACAGGCATATTCCACTCTTGCTGGAGCACGAGAGGCCTGAGAGGCACCTGTTTCCCAGTTGCTAACTGATGCCCACACACCCCATTCACGTGTCTTCATTTAGGTCTCTGCATCGTGTATTCCCTCAGCCAGTGCAAACACATCTTCTGGGGGGCATCATTAATTGCAGCACCTGCCCCTCTTGTTCTGGGAGGGAGTCAAGAGGAATCTGGTCAGCTCCTAATCCCCCAGGACAAAGGTGCTGCCCCCTTTTCAGCACTCACATCCAGCAATGCCATCTCTGGATGGGTTTTTCAAACACAAGTAGCATGAGGTAGCAAGCATGGTGTGACAGGCTCAGGGCCATGGGCAGCCGGTTGCTGGAGAAGCAGCACAGGGCAGGCACATCTGTGGGTGGCACCATGACAAGCCAAGGCAGCCACAGCCCCTAATCCCAACAGCTCCAGCCCAGTTGGCATTCAAATCTTCCCAGATAGTATTGGGGTACGCGATGCCCATCACTCGCCCGCTCATTAGCACGGCCTTGTTGGTTACTCAGAGACTAAGGAGAGAGAGTGGGGGATGTAGATCCAGGGTGGGCACCGCCTTGCAGCCAGAGTCCACCTGACTGCAGGCCAGCAAGCAAGCCCAAGCAGCTCAGCTCTAGTCACCTCTGGCTGTACTTTATGTGTATACTTTACACAAAGGTAGCAAACAGAGGTCAACATTAGCTGTTGTGACATGAAAGTCTATGCCTCATTAAGACCTTAAAATGCTGTTGTCTTAAGCTCTCTTTATTCCACTAAAATTTATACAAATAAACACATGCAAGCTGAAACTACTATAAAGGAAATATTAGGATTTTTTAAACCCATAAACAGACATGAAAACAGTCACTGTTTGATTGCAGAGAAAGTGAGCTTCTAAAGCAGCTGACCACAAAACAGCCTCACCAAACCCCAGGCAGGCCAGGCAGTCTGAACACTACAAGGCCACGTGATGGTCACAGAGGATGACAGCTCCCGTGAGTATTGCAAGGCACTGTGTTAGCTTCTCACTCACAGTCTCAGAATACCCTGTGAGGGGAGGCCCCGTCTCACTAGAGCACAGGAGGTTCCTGAGCTCTTCCCAGAAAATGGTCATCAAACGATGGAGCAGAGGGAAGCCCAGACAGAACAAGTGAGTCCCTAGGGTCTCCTTAACCTCCCTCAGCTCCTCCACATGGGTCCCTGAGGGAAAGTGAGCAGCCTCCTAACCCCCTTGATAGGGTTCCAGTCCTGCAGGTCGGACTCTCTCATTTTATGCTACCATAGGGGGTGACAATGCAACCCCAGGCCCCTTATTTGCCATCCCTCAATGCCAGGCCAGGCCCAGAGCCCTTTGCTAACACAGCCCAGGGGATGCTCAAGGCCCACCTCGGCACAGTCACCTGTAGTGTACTGAGATGAGCAAGGAGGTGCAAGTAGACACAAATCCCCATGGGCTTGGCCTCAGCCATGTTCCACAGGCTCAGGGCCTCGCAGATGAGCTCACAGCCCTCCTTCAGGAAGCCTGCAGATCACACCCTCAGGGAGCAGTGCTCAGATGAGCAGGCAGGCCCCACATCCCCCACCCCATGACGCTCTGTTCCACTTTGCAGGCTTCTGCATTGGCCAGTCCCCACTGCTTTCTGGTGAGATGTCCGAGTTGAAGTGAATGTTGAAGGCCACACAGCTGATGGAGCTCACTGCCTTGCACATGTTGTAAATCACCTCCTGGCTTCAAGGGTCAGCTGTGGAGACACAGCTTGATGGGAGGTAGGCCCACTCCACCATCAGTGGTGCTGGGTTGCCCTGATCTGCACCTTCCAGATACTTGCTAAGATATCTGCATGCTTCTCTAAGGGACTGGGTCACGAGACACCCCTGGCAAGGACCAGCTGGCAGAACAGGCTGGACACTCTCCCTCAGCCTCCCCAGCAGCCCCACCTGTGCTGTCATCTGTGCTGATGATCTCCGTGGTAAGATTATGGGAAACTTTTACAGCAAGTTTTCCTTTCTCACTTCCCTATCTTAATAACAGCACTGATAACTTTTAAGCCCTAGCAAGCTGAAACTGCAAGACACATGATCTTCTGCCTTAGAAGGGCCATGTTTGGGCAGTGGGTGCCCAGGTGAGAGCCCCATGGTTGTTAGTGGCAGCCGGGAGCTGGATGGGCCTGCCCCATAGCCTAGTGAAAAGTGGGACCCTCTCCTTCCAGAGCATGGAAGTCTCAGAGGCTGGAAAAAGGTGCCTAAGTGGCCTGCCAAAAAGCATAAGGCTAGAAGGCCTGGAAAGAGCCCCAACAGCCTTCAAGCTGCCTGAGAGGGCTGGGCTCATTCCAGCTTTCTTTGCTTTCATCCTGTTAGCAAGAAAACCTGCTCACAGATGGCAGGCGGGCCTGAGGCTGCCATTCCCTCATCAGGGGCTATAGGCACCTTTAATGTGGCTCTTTCTTGAAGCAGCTGCTCAGGCCGGTTCTCGAAGAGCAGTTCCCTCATTATCCACAGGTCCTTCTTCCAGCCCCGTGTCTGCAGAGGGACTAGGGAGGGAGACAAGGGCTCAGCCTGTGCCCCACAACCTGCTTTGAGACATCTCTTTTGTTACTTCCTCACAGACAGCCTGAAACTTCCAAATGAACAGACCAGAATGGAGCCTCCAGGAAAGTGTACAGAATTCTGTCTAGTACCCAGAAGGAAGGGGGTTCCCAGTGAAGGCAGGGCCAGGCTGCATGCACCTCTTCAAAAATGTTCTCCTCATAGTCCACGCTCAAGGTGTACATCCTCTGTGTGCTTGCAGTCCATGGCAGCCTCTGCCTTGGGAACAGTCCAGCTGCACACCTGCAATATGGTGGTGACCCTCTTGAATGGATGGTTCTGGGCCCCATTGCAGACAGCAGATAGGGAGATGCTCAGCCCATCAAGCCCAGAGCCCTGCCACAGGCTTCTGTGAGGCCTCCACCTGCTCTGGGTTCTTGCCCTGAGAGGCTGCCCTGAAGTCAAACAGAAGCAGGTGGGACTCTCTTCCACAGCTGCTCTCTCTCCCACTGACAGCTCCCTAGAGGGTAACTCAGACAGAGAAGATAGAATTCTCAGGCAGAAGGACAGGAGTTTCGGCTGCCGATTCATTCCATACCCCCACATGACATGACACAAGGCAGGGGCTGTGGGACAAAGGCATTGCCTTTCCTTCTGGCAAGAGGAATGCCTTAGGAAGCAGGTCTGGTGGGGCTAGGGTTGAGCGATAGGCTTCAGGCCACAAGGAGTGGATGGACACTGAGCAAGTATCCTGGTTATCTGTCCACAGATCCAGAACAAGTGGCATCCCAGGAGCCTGGGAGGGGCTGGCAGAGACTTACTGTGTCCAGCAAAAGCCCCATGTGGATGCGGTAATGCTGCCTGCTGGTCCTTGTCTGTAATTACAAACAGGTACATGAGGTCCCCATGGATCTTGCAGCTCTCAGGGAGTGGGTTCCAGCTGCTCATGTTAGGCACTTTTAGTCACTGAACGTGCTTCAGGAATGGCCAAGTTTGATTAAGCCAGGCGTCTTGCTGTGAGACCCTCCACCCAACTGAGGACCCTCTTCCTTGTCCCCCCTGACAGTTTACCTTCCAGTTCTGGTTCTGGAGACACGATGGCCCTTCTTGGGCCCCTGGGAGAATGTGCTCAGATGACACACAGTCGACAGGGCCCATTTCCAAGCCATTCTTCCATTTCCCACTGTTTGAGGGGCCGAGGCCGGTGATCAGCACAGGGCCACCCAGGGCCAGCTGTCTGCACCTAAACGTCATGTTGGTCTGGATGTCTCAGGGCCAGAACTCTCCAGGTAAGATGGCCTGGTCCTCAGCACCTGGCCTCCATGCTCCTTTTTCCTCTGTTCAATCCTGGCCCCAATGCCTCCCGCAACTCTCAGGTCACCATTGGAGAAGATGCTCAGGAAGAACAAGGAGCTGCAGTCAACCCTGCTGAAGGTGGCATATGGGTCCAGGCTCTTGAGCTGGTCTTCGACATGGTACATGTGGATGCAGGCTTTGAGCAGTGTGAGTAGCTCTTTCCGGAAGGAGGGGAAAACGGTGTTACCAGGGTCCTACACCCTAGAACGACCCATCTAGCACAGAAAACAGTTTGCAACGTGCTATTATGTGTGATTTTAATTTTGGGCTTTAGGCTTTCATTTCCAAATTCCACAATAAACACATAAGGTGGGGTTCTGATTTCAACACACACACACACACACACACACACACACACACACACACACACATTCTCTCTCTCTTCCTCTCTCTTAGAATCTTCCAGTGAATTCACACTGAAAGCCGAAGTCCTCCCAGAATCTTGTGAGAACCTAAATGATCTGAATAGTTTGTCATTGCTTTTAGGGATCTGGGAAAATCTCTGCACATTTCTGGAGACCGCTGTTATGCCATTTTTAATAAATCTGTTGTGCTTCAATTCAGAAGTGTGTGAGGGGAGTTGTGGAGGAATTGGCATTTGGGTTAGAAATTCCAGGAACAACAGAGACAGATGACACCTGTTTTCTGCTTCATAATGTCAAGTTTTATGAAGGCTAAAACCTAATTCTACAAAAAAAATTAGACTGAAAAACTTTATAGGCAAAAATTATCTTATTAAATAGGAAAATCTAATTATTTTATTTTAAAATTTTCTTTTCCTTAGTAGGACCTAATCATAGAAATTTAAACACTGTATGCCAACAGCCTCTACTGTAGGATGGTTTATTGTAAGTACTCATTTTACAGATTTCTTACAAAAACTTTTTCCGTAAGAGAAATTAGAATATTGTTCAACATATATTGAATTCACAATTATTACCTTATTTCTCACTTATTATTTTATGATTCTGTTTTCTTTAATATGAAGATTACTATGACTGTGTTTTCACTTTCTGAATTATCATGTGTCACATTTTTCTGTAATTTCAGTTTGAGAAGTTGTAAAACAGCATGCTCAAATGTATATGTTATGTATCAATTATATAATTAATTATTAAAATATTTGGCTTGTATGTTTAATTGACTCTAGGCACAATATTACTATTAGCATTTTCTTCCAGTTTTCCCAACTTTTATTTGACTAATAGTACAATTTATTTCCAGTTTTTATTTTATCTGTCAATGTTTTATACTGTATTTACAATATTTATATTGTTACCATATGTAAAAATGTAAGACCTTTCTATTAAAGGCTAGATTACAGCCTTACCCTTTTGTGTAAGGAAAGAAGCAATGCATCAGTAGCATAATTTAAAACTTTCTCTAGTATTACTTAAATTTTTATTCCTTAAAACTTTCTCATCACATCTCTTTTTAATAATTATAATATGGTTTCTTTGAAATGTTGTTGCCCTAATTGTATCCAAGTAATTCAAAATTTATACTTTTTATGGATTCAAAGGAAGAGTTGAAAATTGTAGTTACCTAGGATTCTTTTTCAGTTGGACACTATGTTTATTCAGGATTTTATAGATCAAAGTTTCTCTTAATTATGTTTTAGAATTTATGTTTCTGTATTTTTTAGAGTAGGCTGTCTCACAGCAGTTAATTGTGTTTTTACTTTCTACCTATTTATTATGATTTTGAATTACATTATTCAAGTAAGAATTCGGGGAAGGTTTCTTTTAAGTTTGTTTTGCAATTTTGCATTTCTGTGTTTCATGTTTTAGGGTAGGGCACCTTACATCAGTTTATTGTTTTTAGTTTGAATTTATATAATATAATTTTCTATGACAATATTCAAATCTGTACAGCTTAAGACAGTGTGAGGCAAAAAATATGAAGCATCCCTATGGTCTTTTGTTAATATAATGATTTAATTGTTTGTTTGCTTGTATAAATATTGCCCCTATTTTGTTTATGACTTGTGTATTTTCTTCTTGTTTGATGGACAATAATTGATTCTGTCTAAGTGAGTAATCATGGAAATTGTCTTAATTTCAACATCTATTGTTTATATTATCCTAGTGTGAAAGAAAGACTTATGCGATTTGAAGATAATTTTTCAAAAACTTTGTAACTCTCTCTCTTCAGGTGTCTTTACTTATTTATTTTTTGACAGACTCTCACCCTGTCGCCAAAGTGCAGTGGCACAATCTTGGCTCACTGCAACCTCCACCTCCCAGGTTAAAGCAATTCTCCAGCTGCTGCCTCTTGAGTAGCTGGCATTAAAAGTGTGCACTACCACGCCTGGTTAATTTTTGTGTTTTTCATAGAGCTGGGGTTTCACCATGTTGGCCAGGCTGGTCTTGAACTCATGGCCTCAAGTAATCTGCATGCCTCAGCCTCCCAGAGTGCTGAGATTACAGGCATGAGCCATCTCTCTTGGCCCTTGGGTGTCATTTTTAATTTCGATTGTGGTAAAAATACATAACATAAAATTTAGAATCTTTAATATTTTTTCTTATACAGTTCAGTCATGTTAATGTATTTACATTGCTTTGCAACATATTTGTAAAACTTTTTTCTTTTGCAAAACTGAAACTCAGGACACATGAAATGACAACTACCCATTTTCCTTACAACCTGGCTCCTGATAAAAATCATTCTATTTTCTGTTTCTAAGTTTCAATACTTTAGATATTACATATAAGTAGAATCATAGAGTATCTGTTTTATTGTGACTAATTTTACTTAGCATCATGTTCTCAAGATTTCTCTTTATTGTGGATGGTACAAGATTTTCTGCCTTTAAAAGCTGAGTAATATTCCATTACTTTTGTATTACAAATTATATTTATTTATTCATTCTATGAGGAAAGTTTGTGTTGCTTTCACCTATTGGCCTTTGTGAATAATGCTGCAATGAATATTGGTATGCAAATAGCTATTTGCTCATATGTATGAGGTTTACATGTGTGCTACCTTCTGTTTTATTGGAAAAATTGTCTGTCTTTATGCTAGAAACAAACTGTTTTCATTGCTGTTGCTTTGTAATGTGCTTTGAAATCAGAAAATTGAGGCCGCTAACATTGTTTTTTTTTAAAACATTTTTGGGCTCTTTATGGTCGCTTGACATTCCATATAATTTGTTGGTTCCTTTTTCTATTTCAAAAACATTGCTAATTTAAAAGGGATTGCATTGAATCTGTAACTCGCTTTAGGCATCATGAGCATTCTTCATAATATCAAGTCTTACAACCCTTAAACATGAGCATGCTCAAAAGTGAGTTGTTTAATTTCCATATATATGTTGCTATTTTTGTTTTCTTCTGTTATTCATTTCTAGTTTTATTCCATTTTGATCAGAAATAATAGTCACTGAAAGGCTAAACCACTCTGGGAAGTGACCCCCATTATAGAACATTACAAAGAGATGTGAGGGCACCACTTCTGCCCTGATGGGCTAGAGGGATGTGTTCTCTGAGATGACACGTTGCAGACAAATGCAGGGAACAATATAACCCCCTTTTCATGTAAACTCTTCCTTATTTTTCTAGAGTATTAGTGATAGTGGTGGCTTTGAAGTCTTGGGGAAGGTCTGGCAGTGCCGTGAACCTGCCTGCTACAGGTGATACCAGGGGGGAAAAATTAAAACCATACAAACTGTAGAAACATGAATAAATACAGCCTAGTGTAAAGTAAAAACAACACAAAGGCCTTCTCTGATATTTCTACAAGAATGTAAAAAGGGACTTTACACTTAACCAAGCTGCCTTTGGGACTAGTTAAGGCTAGATTTTTGGGAGGCACATCTTTGGGTCACTCATGGAAATCCCCTAAGAGAGAGCCCAGAGAAATTCCATATTTGGGTCTGGATCCTGGGCCCATCCTGGTTTTGTCAGACCCCTGTCTGTAGAGACCCCCATGTGCCTGCTCTCACCGTAACTCACTGTATGCCATGCTTGGGGGTGTGGTGAACCTGCCAGTTGTCCAAGGAGATGGGGGACTTGAACCCATCAAATATCTGCTCAATGATTTTAATGAAACTCTACAGAGAGTGTTCCCAGCAGTGAAGCAGGAAAAAAAAAAAAAGAAAAAAGAAAAAAAATTAATTATCTCCTTTGTTTTTACCACCAGGTGACATCTCCATTAGAAATTCTGTTTCCTAGATCAGGAACATAGGAGTATCTGCATAGACCCCCAGCCAATGAGGAAACCCGAGGACAGCTTAAGGCCTTGGGATTCACATCTGAGTAGACACACTTGGTCCACAATGCTCAACTTTTTATTCCACCAGCCATGACCTGGGTATGAACATGACATAGCCGCCAGGGTTCCAATGCCTTACAGCCTGCCCCTGTGAGAAAGAGCCCCCTCCTTTCCTGCTCCCCCTGCAACACATGGTAATGGTAGACAGGGTCGGGTTGCCCAGATTAGATGACACGGGTGGCCTGGCATGGACGGACCTGACCTGGGCTTCACTGTGTTACCTCTGTTTGCCTCTTGTTGAATGGCCAGTGGTATCAAGGATGTGGGCTGAGCCAATATGTATATGGTCAGAAAAGTCTCTCACTTTGAACCTTTCTCAGGCAACAGCTTAGGAATATAGCACACAATGAGAACACAGTACTCTCTCAAGCATCTCCCATGAAATTAGCTAGATAGAGGGCTCTCTCTAGAATGTGGGTTTCTGTTTCCCAAAGTTCTAAATTCTGTTAGGTTCTGTCACAAGGGAAGTCTGTTAACTTCTTCAAGGTTTTATCCCCTGAGCCCTTTTCCTCCATAAATCTATGCAAAGTCCCTACTGGGCTGCTGATTGCTCACCCTCATCTCCCATGTCAACTCTTTTCCTGTAAACAGTTATGCAAACACAATTATGCCTCTTACTCCCCAAAAAGATCTAAATACAGCCAGGGCCCCAGGTTTGAGAGAACAGAGTTGGATTAAAATCTTCTTTTCCTTTTCATTTCTGTGACCATATGAAAATGACTGTGTGCTTCAGTTCTCCCCAGCCCTGAAGTATGCATAATGGGATTAGGCTAGCATCAACTTCCAGAAAGAGTCATTGGCGATATATGAGATAGAATGAATCAAAATCAGTTGGATGTAGTTGCTCTTGCCTGTAATCTTAGCAGATTGGTAGACCAAGATGGGTGGAACACTTAAGGCCAGGGGTTTGAAACCAGCCATGGCCAGCATGGCAAAAACCCTTCTCCACTAAAAATGCAAAAATTAGCCAGATGTGTTGATGCTTGCCTGTAATCCCAGCCACTCAGGAGGCTGAGGTGTAAGAATCACCTGAGCCAAGGAAGCAGAGATTACATTGAGCCTTGATCATGCCTCTGCACTCCAGCCTGGGTGACATAGCGAGACTGTGTCTCAAAAAAATATATATACTATGTATATATAATTTATATTTATATATTATATATAATATATAAACTTATACATATACACCTTTATGTATAAAAGATATATATTTCATATATCTGTATACATAAAAGATATATATTTTATATATATGGCCTTATTTTTCCATTCTACAGCAGAAGAGGTTGAAATCAAAAGAAAATCAGATACTGTATTCTGGCATTAAATATTCCAGTGCTGTGCATTATATTTGGAATCACATGTATATGCTTCATCTCAGCCTATGTGGTGGGCACCCCCAACAAAGTCTCACAACAACACTAAGTTGTGAGTGACTCTGTTATTTAAAAACGCAGCTCACCGCTCAGTGCCTCAGAAGCCGGTACTATAACACCGGGTTTCCAACAAAGACATTGGATTCCAGCTGAAGCCTCTTTCCCTGTGCTTACTTAAAGGTAGTAATATTCTCAGAAAGGTTTAAGAGGTGGCTTCTTGTTTAGCAGGGAATTGCTGAAAGGAAAAATGTATGGAAAGTCACTGGGCATGAACAGCCATCTTTTCCTGCTACACACAGGTCATGTGCAAATTTGGGGACAGTTAGTACAAAACATGTGATGGAAATTTGGGCTCTTACATCAGTGAGCTTATTTCACACAGACTCCAGTTGACCATATTGGTTCCAACCAATTTTAGCCACTTTTTAGAAGTCTCATAAGTGGAATAAATTTCATTCTTTCAACAAGTTCTATCTTTTCTTATCTGTCATTCTGCAAACTGAAGAATTTCTGCTAGTCGTTGGTTGAACTCTTTGGGGACCTGGTTCTAGTTTCTGTCAAAGAGAATACAACAAATGTGATAGGTTATCACTTCTGACTTAGTTCAGGCTTCTATACCAAAAAACATAGACTAGGCAACTTATAAACAAAAGACTTTAGTTCTGGAGGCTAGAAATTTGAGATTGGCTTCCAGCATGGTTGTGGTCTGGTAAGGACTCTCTTCTGAGTTTCGAACTCCAGACTTCAGGTTGTATTCTCATTTAGCAGAGAGAAGGACAGACAGCCTTCTGCGGTTTCTTTTACAAAGCCAGTAATCTCTACCACGAGGGCCTCATGCTTAGGACTTAATTACCTCTGACCTGCTAAGGCCATTAAACTGGGGATTAATGTTCTGGAATGTGAATATGGTGGGGAATCACATAGTCTACTGCAACTTCCAAAGTTATATTTCCAAAACAGCTATTATTTTCCTCCCACTTGCTCTGTCCTGTGTTTCGTCTCTCAATCTCTCTGTCTCCCTTTCTCTTTTTCTGTGCATATGTCTGTCTATCTCTTTCATTTTCCATCTCTCTATTGTATTCTTCAAGATGAGGAAGCGATCTCCAGTGTCCTAAGATGCTCTAGGCACAGACCCACATGATAGAGAACTGAGGAACTGCCCAGGCCAATCAACAGGAAGAAACTGGTGTTCTCAGTTCACACTGAATCCTGCCAATTTCCATGAGGCAGATTGGAGGCTGATCTCTCCCCAAATCCAGCTTCAGTTGAAATCACAGCCCCAGCCTCATAGGGGACCTTGAGGCAGAGGCACCCAACTAAGCTATATCGAGATTCTGATTCACAAAAATTGTGAGATAGTATTTGTTGTCAAAATGTGCTAAAATTCAGGGCAATGTTGTCAGAGAGCGGCAAATGACTAATCTCCTCTTTCAGGCCCCAGGATACACCCTCCCCTCTTTTCCTTTCTTTCTCAGGCTGCCTACAGCCACACTTGTCCCTTTATAACCTCCTCTGCTAAACTGACTTGTGCCTCTGAGTCTTTTCACAAAGAGTGGCTTTTCCCTGACACACTTTCCACACCTGCGCAGTTGTCATTCTCGTCACAACATAATGTCACCTCAGGGAGGCATTCATGTCTCCTCCAGGCAACCTCTCCCCAGCCCTCCCTCCCAACATTCTACTTTATTTCCATTATAAAATGCTCTTTTCTTTCGCATGTACTTGCTTTAGTGTTTTTGTCCTGCCGTCCTCAGACTGTAGGCTCCCCGCGGGGATGCAGGGATAACATAATCGTTTTTGGTACCACATGGTGAACCTACCAAGGTAGCTGCCACAGGGTGAGTGCTAGGGGAAGAGTCGCTGAGTAAAATAACATGGAAAATCACAAAGTCCTTCCTGCTTTCGGTCACCCAATAATGTGGAGATCAAGAATGATAACAGGAGCTGCAGGCCCTCAGCCTGTCTCTCCCACGGCTCCAGCTACTCCAGTCAAGTCCAGCGGGCACAAGAAACACGGGGTCTGCAGCCACCTAGAGACCTCCGCTAGCACTGTAGTCCCAGGCAGAAGCATCACAAAACAGGTACCTGCACTGGGGAATTCTCAAGGCAGTGGCTCTTCAGGGACCCCTGGGAAAAGGAGCAGTATCTGAAGGCTCCAAGGGCCATAAAAGTGACCTCGGAAGCCTCCCTTGATTCCTATTTTCCTCAGCCTCTTTGAGTGTGCTGTGCACTCATTAAACATTTTAACAGCATTCGGCGACATTATTTTCTTCCACTTCCGAATGAGGACCTCAAGGACAGCCCAAAAAACTAGTATTTTTTCTGGGCCCCACACTCCAGAGCCCAGTGCATTGTCACATTGTGCTTTATTCCAAGTCCTCATCCGCCCAAGTCTCTAGGCCTCTCTCTTCTCTGAAGGACCTCTAGAAACTGAAAAGCCTCTTCCCAGAGTCTCAAAGCACAGTGATTTACCAATGAAAAGCCAAGGGCGGCAGACACCTATGAGTATCTAGAATCCTTGGTATTATTCCTTCTCAGTACCCCTATTTATGAGGGAGAAAACAAAGGCTTTCTTTCCCGTAGCCTGTCTTTATATCACACGGGGTGGTGGGTGGAGGGCATAGCTCATTTTAGTTCCAGGTGCCCACAGAAGTGGGAGTCACAACCCCAGTCCTGTCCTCTTGAAACAGCTGGGAAAGTCCCCAGGCTTGGAAGAACCCAGGGAACCTGGAGGATCCTTCATCGCATGCTGTCAGCTCCTGGTCATGTAGCTGGGGGAGTGGATGCCTCTGCCTCATGGCAAAGCTGCATCTACTGTTTCTTCCCCTTTTGTCACTTCTTTGGTTTCCTCTTCCCTAACCTCACTTTAGAATCTCCACTTTAGATCTCCAATTTAGAAGCCTGTGTGTGTGTGTGTGTGTGTGTGATGTGTTTGTGTGTGCATGCCTGCACGCCTATGTGACAACATTGAAGAGTAGAAAGCCCAGGTAGAAAGTAGAGCACAGGGTTTTCCAGGACTCATGGGCTCTCATTTCCAAAGCAAACCTGATGGGTGGGGTGCATGCAAGGCCTAGGAAGCTGGATCCCTCCCTAATACTCTGTGCTTTGCCCAATTTGTGGGATCTGGACCAGTCTTTGCCTTTTTGGGAGGTCTCAGTCTTCCTGTTGTAAAATAAAGAGTTGGCTACAAAACTGTATGAGCACATGCTCAGTGAAGACAGGGTGTCATGCTCAATACCACAGAGAATATTGGGATGGGGAAAGTTTGGGCAGACTTAGGTGTCCATGCGTGCTCAGGCCTCTGAACAGGGCCAGTGCAGGCAAACATAAAGCACAGCACAGCCAGGTTTTCTTTCCAGGGCTACAGGATGAAACAGTGCACCACAGGATCTGCTCTTGAGGTCGGTCCCGCAAGATTTTCCCACCTTCAACCAGCAACTGTTTGATGAATTTCATGTCCTGTGAAGCCCATATCCACCCCCATTACAGTGAGGGGCACAGGGCACTAGACCTGTAAAATAATGTCTTTTGCCTTTTTTTCTTTTCTTTTCTTTTTCTTTTTTTTTTTTTTAACTGAGTGGATGTTTCTTCTTTCTCTTTATCTGTTTTGTTTGTTTTTTAACTAATTTTTAAGAGGTCTTTACAGGTCAGCTGTGGTGCCTCGCACCTGTAATTTCAACACTTTGGGAGGATGAGGCAGGTGGATTATTTGAGGTCAGGAGTTCAAAACCAGCCTGGCGAACCTGGTGAAAATCCGTCTCTACTAAACTTACAAAAAAATTAGCGGGGAATGGTGGCCCAAGCCTGTAGCCCCAGCTACTCAGGAGGCTGAGACAGAAGAATTGCTGAAACTTGGGAGGCGGAGGTTGCAGTGAGCCGAGATTGCACGACTGCACTCCAGACTGGGTGACAGAGTGAGTCTCTGTAAAAAAAAAAAAAAAAAGAGAGAGAGAGAGGGAGAGAGAGAGTGCTCTTCATGGAAACATGAGCCCCTTTGTAATTTCATGTGTTGAAAATATTTATTCCAATTTTGCAATTTCTTTTCTTATTGTGGTGTTCTCTTTAAGTTTGGTTTAGATGTTATTAGTGTTTCTCCCCAAATTGATTTATTGATTTCCATTTTCACAATACAATATTTTGGCAGAAATCTTGTGGAAACTGTCTAATCAGTTTAAAAATTTAAATACATATTAAAAAATCAAAGAACTGTAAAAACTGTCCTGAAGAATGACAAAGTTTGTGAGCTTACAATGCCATATATTCAGACTTAGATTAAAGCTATAGTAATAAAAGCTATCTATGGTAGTAATGCAAAAATAGGCACAAAGAAAACTAGAAAAACTCGAGAGTCCAACTCAGACTCACACATTTAGACATTTTGTATATTACAAAACAGGCACAGAAGAGCAGTGGAGAGAAGACAGCATCTCGGTAATTAGCCTTGGGTCATCTGGTTATTTATGTGAGAAAGAAATAAACCTATCTTATATTGTTAACAAATTTCGAGACAAGTGGATTTTAAATTTTAAGGTGAAAATTGAAAACAATATTTCTAGTAGATAACATAGATAAGTATGTCCATGACTTTGGCACAGGCCAAGATTTCTTGGGACACAAAATGCATAAATTATCAAGACAAAAATATGACAAATTGGACTTTATTAGAATTAAAACCTTCTCTTCATAAAAAAAAAAGCTTCAGGAGAGCTGAAAGGCAAGAACAAAGTGGAAATCAACATTTGTCATATATTGATCTGGCAAAAGCTTTTTATCTAGATTATTAAGCTAAATCCCATCACTTAATAAACAAAGATGCATACATTGAACAAAATTGGCAAAGATATGACTAGGAGTTCCACATACAGAACCGAAGGGCCAACAAGTAGATGAACATATCCACATTCTTATGCATCAGAACAATGCATATGAAAACTACAATTGAATACCACTATGCAATCATTAACATTTTTGAAAACTGACAAAATTAAGTATTAGTGATGATGTCAAGCAACTGGAACTTTCTTATACCATTCTGTGTGCAAACTGTTATAACCACATTCAAAACCACTTGAGTAGTAACTCCTTACATACACGATGTACATAAGCACACTCTAGAACCCAGCAACTCTGCTACTAGGTATATACACCCAATAGAATTGCCAGCATATTTTCCAATGTAGTAAAGTGCTCGAAGTAGCATTATTTGGTACTTTTCCAAACTGAAAAAAACTCAAATGTGCATCAATAATAAAATAAATAACTAAAACAGCTACATATTCCTTTATAAGGGGACATTATACAGATATAAAATTAATTGGAGACATATTAAAATATACAAAAATCTAACAAATACAATTTAATTAGATTTAAAAGTCCTATCCAGAGCAATCGGCCAATAAAAAAGAAAAAGGCATACAAATAGAAAAAGAAATTGAATTCTCTTTCTCCATTTGCAATATGAGTCACTACGTAGAGAATGCTAAAGCCTCTCCAAAACTACTTTTGGGGAAAACTTGAAAAGCCTCCTGAAACGGATAAGCAAGTAAAGTTTTAGGACACAAAACCAATGTACAAAAATAAGCAGCATTTCTATGCATCAACAACTTTGAATTCCTGAACATCTTCTGGTTTTATTGCATTTTCAATTTTTTCCCTCCATTAACTATACATTTTTTCTTTTTTCAGCTAAACTAATTTATTCTTCTGTATAATTTCACCTTGTTAATAAACCCCAGGCCAAAAAGTGGGAATAAAGTATTTGTCTGCATCCTGTTTCCTCATTTTGAAAACTAGTCTAGACGAAACCTATACTTGTTCTAGGGAGTTGGCATAGACAGCATTTATTTCCGTTCTCAGCAGTGATGCCAGCCAGAAAGAGGGAGTTCCCCATTTTCACTTTGGTTAGACAGGACTCTGGATGGTTGAAGGGGAAAAGTTTCAGACTCTAAGGGAGCCAAATAGGATATTACAAAGATTTATGCATTTACTCCGGGAGCAATTATTGTGTTAAATTTTGTGCAAAACACTGCGCAAACAGCAATTAAAGTGAAAATTATTAAGGCATTACCTTTACCTTGGGAAACTCACACTAGTCAGATTCTCCGAACCCCAGAACATAACAACAACCTAGTAAAATCTTGTTCAGAGTGAAGAGAGGGTGGGAGCAGGAAGGTAAGGTTAAAAATTAGGCTGGGTGAATGAGATAATTACCCCTAGTCAAGCAGTGGAAGTATGGATGGCTTTGGGATGGGTGAAGACAAAAGAATCTCAGCAGAGGGTGCAGATAAAAAAAGGCAGAAACACAGGAGGCTTATGCAGGAAGAGGAATGAGTTTGCTGGACTGGGGAGAGTGACAGTAAAAAGCAGAGGATAATAGGCATCTCTGGTCATCTAGGGACTATAGGGTGGATTAGTTGGGGGTTACAGAATCAGTGAGGTACTTTTTAACAGTAGGATGGGTAAATAAGAGCTATAATTTGGAATAATTATGTAGCAATGGTGGTTAGGAGCAATAGAAACTCAAAGTATTACATAAATATGTTTTTTTCTTATTCTCCCACACAAGCCTTTCACCTTCCCTCTTAAACTGAGAACGGAGTGGTTTGCTATGATGTTTTTAAATTCTCACAGGCAAGCATTACTCTGTGCTGCCTTTTAATAAAGGCTAATTTTAACCAAATTAAAGAAGATTGAATGGATTTTCTTGATCATAATGGTTGAGTACAACATCTCTTACCTTCTACTAGTTTTCAGTATAACTGAAGTAACAGAATGTCAATACTCCATGGAGGGGTGTTCCTCTTGCTAAGGCTCCCTCCTCTGGGCTAGGCCTTCTACACCATGGCTGTCCTGCTGTGGCTGGAGCTGGAATTTGGATTGACCTCTGTGTGTCTTCCTAGCACACAATAGGTGTCCAATTAGCATGGGCAGAATCAAGCTCCTCCCTCTCACCATTTATTTCTCCATTTGTCCCTTGTTGGGAATGGAGAGTCCTGCCACTGAGTTCAGCCCAGGGTTGAAGTTCAAATCTCAGCTGATACTTGGTGGATGTTGACTTTTTTGAGAAGAACTTGGGAGAATAAAACATTATAAAGGCGCTGGCCAGGCACGGTGTCTCATGCCTGTATTCCTGGCATATTGATTGGCTGAGGAGATAGAATTGCTTGAGGCCAGGAATTTGATACCAGCCTTGTCAACATAGTGAGACCCCATTTATACAAAAAACTTGAAGCATTAAAAACATTTAGCCTGGTGTGATAGTTCCAAACTGTTGTCTCAGCTATGCTGGACATTGAGGCAGAGGATCACTTGAGCCAGGAGTTCTAGGCTACAGGGAGCTATGATCGTGCTGCTGCACTCCAACCAGGGCAACTATGCAAGATGTTTCAAAAATAAAATCTTTTATTATTCTTCACCCCTATAGTCTCTCCAGAACTTGTGCACTATGTAGCAGAAAGAATCAAACTCCCCAAGAGTTTGGTTCTTGCTTATGATTTGGTTTTCTGCTGCTTGGCTGCCCCCTCATTTCCCCATTTTGTA
This sequence comes from Homo sapiens, assembly GCF_000001405.40. Lineage (NCBI taxonomy): Eukaryota > Metazoa > Chordata > Mammalia > Primates > Hominidae > Homo > Homo sapiens. Next base: position 6,692,992 of record NC_000021.9, read on the forward strand.
TAAATAAGAACCCCCAGGTGAAGTGGAGTTTCTCCCCAGCAGAGGGTCTCACCAAGGCCCCAGGACTGGCACTTTAGGTGGAGGCTTGCCTTTCAACCTCTGAATAATAATTGATACTAAAATTGAGAAGTTTTCCAGACACCAGCTTCCTGAAAGGAGCACCCAGTCGAGACAAGATGAGGTCAGTAGCGAAGGTGACCCAGGCTGAGTGGGCCGTACATTCCTCTACTTTTCCCAAACTTCCCTCTGACATCCTACAAACTTTCTGTCTTCCCAGGACTTTCTTGCCAGGGAGTCTAATGAAGTAAAAGCTTTAAAATTGCTTTGATTTTAAAAATAATTTTATTGGTTCTTAAAATGTACTGTTAAATATTACTGTTTTTCTTCCCCCAGGGGCTACGTGAACATAAGCTCGGTTTTCACACTAGCAGCATTTAGAAATGTCTCTTCTGGAGGAACACTGATGCTCTCAATCACACGTGGTAATTCTCTCCTCCAGGCACAAAATGCAGTCTCAGCATCTCTGTATCAGGAGTCACTGTCTAAGTCTCTCCAGAGAAATAAGCTACCCAGGCCATCCAGCTGCTGGTGAGTTGCTTTGTGGTCATGAACTGGGTAGATTTCCTCATCTCATGCTCATTGGCCACATTCAGGATTAATGATTCAATGCTTTTGTTGTTCCAGAAGCTGTGGTCAGTGGCTATGCAGGAGTCAGTCTTTCAGTGCTGATCTTTGCTGAGAAAATAATAGTATTGTTCAAACAGTATATAGGATTTGCACTCAATATTTAATAATTTAGTGACAAAAATCTCTTAAATATACATTATACTGATATAAAATAAGTTACTCATCTATTATCAAATTTACTCTTTTATTTAATATAACTCTTGGGATAACATTTTCTTTTATGCTTCCATAAATATGCTTCACATGGATATATCACATATTGTGTATAATTTCACACAGTGTTAATATAGTTTCCATCTATTTAGATGTTTGCACATTTATTTTATCTCAATGTTTGTTCTCAGGAAGAGTGTTTTTCTTTATAAACTAAATTTTCAGCAAATTTTAAATGCATTTCACTGACGTAATTATACTTACATTGTATTTGTGTATTAAGTTACATTTTGTCCTTAAACCTGAAAATAACTTTTCAAATATATGTAATTTTAAATTTACATGTTTTTCCCTCAGAACTTTGAAAACCATAACCTATTGGATTCTTGATCTTATTCACATATTGAGAAATATGTTTCTTTTCATTGCTTTATAATTAATTTGAATTTTATCTTAGATAGCTTTACGTGATTTTCTCTATTATGGTATTATGCTTTTAACTATTGTTTTTCTTTTGATCAGAATGCCTTTAAGCTATTATAATTAATTATTTTAATAATTATATATTTTTATTCCCTATTTGACATTCACTCCATTTTATTTATTCGAACTTGCACTTAAACAACATGACTTATTTTAGATTTTTATGTATTTTAATTTTTCATATTGTTTATTTGTTTTATCCCTATTGGGACTTCTAAATATTCACTTCATCATATCTTCTAATTCATAATTTCTTTTTCAATTATGTAATTTTTCTATGCATTCTATCCTTTAAATTTAAAATTTTTACCTAATTATTTTGATAATATAACTTATTTTGATCTTACTTTTAAACTTTTCCTCTAATATATTTAAACATTATAACTACTTATATTATTTCTACAGTATATATACAATTTTGGGATTTTTTAAGATGTAATGGTACAGCTGTGTTTTTCTTATAATTTTGTTTCTTAATAACTTTGATCTTGATGACTTTTACTTTGTATATTTTAAAAAGAATAGTAGACTTCATTTTATTATAAATGACTGACCTCAATTGATGGGGCCATTGAAGATTCTGGGTCGAGGTATTTTATTCCAGTGAAAAGTTATCTGTAATGTTAATAATGCACCCTTTACAGACACCTGAAAATGATTAAGTCTATATATTTACCTAAATTGTCCTGAGTAAAACACATAGTGTACATATAAACCAGAAACTCATATGATGATTGGTGTTAATTTCCAAATCAACCAAAGAGGAGAAATACCACCTCCACTAACTAACCTATTTTTCTAAACTTTTGAAAATGTAAGGATTCTAGCTTTAGATAGCATAGTCAGATCCAAGTACTCCTGCATCTATGCTGCTGTGACATTATATTCACCAATCAGACACGTTAAATTCTAACAACCTGTGCTTCCATTATTAGCAATTCCCACAGGTAGCATCAACTTCCAGCCTAATTTTTATTCTACAGCTGTGCTTCTTCATTCTTTCCTGAAAAATTATTTGTGGAGGTACATGCCTTTGAAGTTTCTCAGCATATATTGTTATTTGAGGTTGAAAAGATAAGATTATCTAAATTTTTGCCAGAAACTCTCATACCCACATTATATCTTTGAAAGCATTGGTTATCACACTGCTGCTGACATGTGCATGTAGGAGAAGCATGTAAATGTCAGCGCTTTGCAGTCTCTAAGGGGCTGAAATAAACAATACCGGAAATCTTGGCCACTGAGGCTCACATGTAGATTTTCATTCCCAGTCCAGGCATCTAGATTCAGGGGCACCTTCCTGAGGGCCTTTTGGTTGAGGCCTTCTTCAGAAACTTTTGTTCAGATCCCTGTTTCTGGAGAAGAAATGGAACTTTGATAATAATTTTTATAGATTCCTATTAATATTCAATTCTCTTTAATCTTGCTCATACATTCTCCTCTACGCTCTCCTGCCCCCTTTTCCACAAAATTGCGGGCCTGTTTTTTATGAGGGTGCCACCTCGGCAGTGAGACAGTGCCCCATATTTGTGCTGATCCATCTGACCCTTTCCTGGTGCTTTTCCATGAGGAAAAAATGGAACAATGAGGAGTCGGTGCTTGATCTAATGTTGCCTGTTGTTTAACACAATCACAGAAAGGAAGACAAAAAGGCATAACTATTTCTTTGATGTGGGCCTCTTGCTTTAATTTAAAACTCTGATATTAAGCAGGTTAGCTCTTCCCAGCTCAGCTCAGCTCTTGAAATTTCATGGAAGAAATTCTGTTTTTATTGGTCTAAATTTTGTGTCTTTTATATAGAAAAAAGGTAATAAAATTGCATCTTATATTTAAAAATTGAATGCCTTCTGTTTTGCCATTTTACTGAAGAGAAAATTTGTGTAGCCTATTGGCATTATTAACAGTGAAGCTCCAAGTACTAATATTCAGAAAAAATAATGAATCAAAATCCAACTATTTCTCAGTACCATTTTCTTTTTTATAAACTTTCTATTTTATTGTCTGTAATTTAAAAACTTCTGTGGAAAAGAGTTTAAAATTTTCAAAGTTAATACAAAATTATTTTTAGAGTTTCTTTTTGCATAATGTTTGTCGTAAGTAGCTAATATTAATAAATTGTAATCATCAATTCTTATCTAAGCTGCACGTTAAAAAATATGTTAATATTTGCTGCTGCCTAAAATATAATACATATTTACATAATCTAATTTACTAAAAATAGTAATAAACACATATAAATAATCAACATACACAGGTCATTTTTTCTATTTCTTACTTATATTTTATGTTTCATATTTGTATCAGCACACTTTATGTCCTAGTATCATATATGGAAACGTGCCTATTTTGCATATTGTTATATTAAATAATAAGACATATGCTTAGCTTCCCCTAGGTTAAATTTTTTACATAATTGTTATTAACGTAAATAATCCAGAAATTAAAGTTTTTAAAAAAATTTCCAGTGCCCTCACTGTGCATAATATAATTCTATTTTTTAAAGTGTTAGTGCTGTTTGCATTATATAAAAGAATATTTTAGTGTATCAACTAACTACATACCTGAAAGCATGGCTTACTTTTTCATTAGTATATACTTTTGGTTGTACTCGGCTATTTTTCTAAAAGTGCTTGCAAATCAGTTCCAGGCCACAGGGCTTTGTCTTCAACAAAATAAGAATATCTCAGAGACCCACAGAAATAACTGTACCAAGTACTCCTATAAACAGGCTTCTGATAGAATGACTTACATAACTTTGAAACACTATCAGTGGACTAAGTTATTTCTCTAATTCTAGCAGAGAAGCATATGTGCTTACAAGATAGAGTAAAACAAGTATGAATAAAACAGGACTAAATGAACTGACAAAGAATGATAATAGGTTTTGTTTGGAATGTGAACATAAAACATTCCTGCTATTATTTCCTTGGTATCTAAACATGAGCTAATGGGAGCCGTTGTTACATGTTGTACACCCTTAAGAAGGTTTACAGTTTTTCGTCTCACCTATATTCGTAGTTGTCTTTATTTGTGGTTTAGAATCTCAGCTCTTTTCATAGCTGCCTGGCACTCATCTTGTATGAGCTCCTTTGTGTTTCTGAAGCCTCTGGCATACACCGAGGGTGTGGGTTTGCCTGGAATGTAGCATCAACCTGTAGAGAACAGGATTTTCCATGACCCAGTCATTGAATAAACTTGATATCTGCTTCTGCTGTTGAGAAAACATTATTTCTCCTTCAGGAATATCCACCCTCTTCATCAAGAACATCGTGTCATTCTTCAGGGTCACAGAATGCTCTACAGCCTACTTCCTGGTGTCCACCAAGGAGGAGATTAGTTGCATCTGAATTCAAGGAAGATTCGAGAGGGCTCACAGCTGCAGAATTCCAATCACTCTCAGTCTGACTGTGCTGATTTTAGAAAGACACATGGGGATCTGCCACAAGGAAGGCACTTTGCAGGGAGGCCTCAACCCCATGGCACACCCCTTCAGGAGGGCTCTTCTCCTTGTAACAGTCACTTAGCCACTTGTAGAAAGGCAACTCTTAGAAAATTTAAATGGGGACCAAAATACTAACCCTAACCAGTTTATTATCTCAAAGAATTGGAAAAACAAAGTTTTCGAATACTACGGGATTAGAAGAGTAAACAAGATATGCCTTTTCTTTGGAGCTACATATATGTATTAAAAATGGGATGTACAAAGAATTTTTTATCACATGGAGAAGTGCTTATGAGATGATATAACATTAAACAAATTAATGAAAGGCACACATTAAAAAGTATAACCAAACTTATACATTAGAGCTCAAAATTTAAAATGTGTAGAAAAATGATTGAGAGGAAATATGCCGAATTATAGGAATTGATGTGTTTCTTATAGGAAGCAGGATCCTGTGAGAAATTAAATTGCTTTATTGATTCTCTTGTAATTTTATAGTTTCCAAAAGTTCTACAGAGAGTGTAATGTAGGACCTTAGTCAGGAATAAACATCTCTTTAAATAAGCAGCAGAGAATTTCAAAGGAAGTGTGTGGTATGGGTTTATGTGTTTCTTTCAAGATCTAATATTTTCCACGTAGTGCTTCAGAAAAGATAAGGTAATTTCAACAACTTAACCCCATCATCAAGAGGGTGTTACTTAAGTACATTATGGGAGGTCATAGATAAACAACCAGTCAGCCTCTAAGCATCAGAAAATCTGTGATGTCCATTGGCCTGTGAGATGGTCTGCATTTCTTTGAAGGAAAAAAGCAGGTTTTAAAACACTAGAACCGAATCAAATCCAAATTTGAATAGAAAGATTAGAAAGGCTTATGCATGGGAAAAAGATTCAGGGTATTCAACGGTTAATTCTGACTATTTCTGAGTAATTTAAATTTACCTATAATTTAAAAAAAAAATTAAGGTCAGGTGTGTTGACTCAAACCTGTAATCCCAGCATTTTGGGAGGCCGAGGTGGGTGAATCACTTGAGACCAGGAGTTTGCGACCAGTATGGGCACCATGGCAAAACCTCATATCTACTAAAAACACAAAAAATAGCCAATTGGTGGTGTGTGCTTGTAGTCCCAGCTACTTGGGAGGCTGACGCATGAGAATCGCTTGAACCTAGGGGGTGGAGGTTGCAATAACCCAAGATCTCACCACTGCACTCCAGTCTGGGTGACAGAGCAAGACCTTGTTTCAAAAAAAATTTTTTTTGTATTTTAATTAGGAATCAAATAAGATAATTAAATGTAAACTTACACTTAATTTACTTTTTAAGCATTTTAAGAATTGGTATTCTAATTTTGTGTCGGTACATTTTAAGAATCAATAAAATTATTTTTAAAATCAAAGCAATTTTAAAGCTTTTACTTCATTAGACTCCCTGGCAAGAAAGCCCTGGGAAGATAGAAAGTTTGGAGGATGTCAGAGGGAAGTTTGGGAAAAGTAGAGGAATATATGGAGGGCAGAAGGAGTGAACATTAGGGAAACCCTCCCCTAGCTCAGTCTTCAGATACGCTGGTGGACTTCCCCACTCAGCCTGAGTCACCTTCGCTACTGACCTCATCTTGTCTTCTGACTGGATGCTCCTTTCAGGAAGCTGGTGTCTGGAAAACTTCTCAATTTTAGTATCAATTATTATTCAGAGGCTGAAAGGCAAGCCTCCACCTAAAGTGCCAGTCTTGGGGCCTTGGTGAGACCCTCTGCTGGGGAGAAACTCCACTTCACTGGGGGGTTCTTATTTTATACAAAATGGGGACATGACGGGGCAGCCAAGCAGCAGAAAACCAAATCATGAGCAAGAACCAAACTCTTGGGGAGTTTGATTCTTTCTGCTACATAGTGCACAAGTTCTGGAGAGACTATAGGGGTGAAGAATAATAAAAGATTTTATTTTTGAATCATCTTGCGTGGTTGCCTGTTTGGAGTGCAGTAGCGTGATCATAGTTCACCGCAGCCTAGAACTCCTGGCTCAAGTGATCCTCTGCCTCAATATCCAGCATAGCTGAGACAACAGTTTGGAACTATCACACCTGGCTAAATGTTTTTAATGCTTCAAGTTTTTTGTATAAATGGGGTCTCACTATGTTGACAAGGCTGGTATCAAATTCCTGGCCTCAAGCAATTCTATCTCCTCAGCCAATCAATATGCCAGGAATACAGGCATGAGACACCGTGCCTGGCCAGCGCCTTTATAATGTTTTATTCTCCCAAGTTCTTCTCAAAAAAGTCAACATCCACCAAGTATCAGCTGAGATTTGAACTTCAACCCTGGGCTGAACTCAGTGGCAGGACTCTCCATTCCCAACAAGGGACAAATGGAGAAATAAATGGTGAGAGGGAGGAGCTTGATTCTGCCCATGCTAATTGGACACCTATTGTGTGCTAGGAAGACACACAGAGGTCAATCCAAATTCCAGCTCCAGCCACAGCAGGACAGCCATGGTGTAGAAGGCCTAGCCCAGAGGAGGGAGCCTTAGCAAGCGGAACACCCCTCCATGGAGTATTGACACTCTGTTATTTCAGTTATACTGAAAACTAGTAGAAGGTATGAGATATTGCACTCAACCCTTATGAGCAAGAAAATCCATTCAATCTTCTTTAATTTGGTTAAAACTAACCTTTACTAAAAGGCAGCAAACAATAATGCTTGTCTGTGAGAATTTAAAAACATCATAGCAAACCACTCCGTTCTCAGTTTAAGAGGAAAGGCAAAACGCTTGTGTGGGAGAATAAGAAAAAAAATATTTATGTAATACTTTGAGTTTCTATTGCTCCTAACCACCATTGCTACATAATTATTCCAAATTATAGCTCTTATTTACCCATCCTACTGTTAAAAAGTACCTCACTGATTCTGTAACCCCCAACTAATCCACCCTATAGTCCCTAGATGACCAGAGATGCCTATTATCCTCTGCTTTTTACTGTCACTCTCCCCAGTCCAGCAAACTCATTCCTCTTCCTGCATAAGCCTCCTGTGTTTCTGCCTTTTTTTATCTGCACCCTCTGCTGAGATTCTTTTGTCTTCACCCATCCCAAAGCCATCCATACTTCCACTGCTTGACTAGGGGTAATTATCTCATTCACCCAGCCTAATTTTTAATCTTACCTTCCTGCTCCCACCCTCTCTTCACTCTGAACAAGATTTTACTAGGTTGTTGTTATGTTCTGGGGTTCGGAGAATCTGACTAGTGTGAGTTTCCCAAGGTAAAGGTAATGCCTTAATAATTTTCACTTTAATTGCTCTTTGCGCAGTGTTTTGCACAAAATTTAACACAATAATTGCTCCCAGAGTAAATGTATAAATCTTTGCAATGTCTGATTTGACTCCCTTAGAGTTTGGATCTTTTCCCCTACAACCATCCAGAGTCCTGTCTAACCAAAGTGAAAATGCGGAACTCCCTCTTTCTGGTTGGCATCACTGCTGAGAACGGAAATAAATGCTGTCTATGCCAACTCCCTAGAACAAGTATAGGTTTCATCTAGACTAGTTTTCAAAATGAGGAAACAGGATGCAGACAAATACTTTATTCCCACTTTTTGGCCTGGGGTTTATTAACAAGGTGAAATTATACAGAAGAATAAATTAGTTTAGCTGAAAAAAGAAAAAATGTATAGTTAATGGAGGGAAAAAATTGAAAATGCAATAAAACCAGAAGATGTTCAGGAATTCAAAGTTGTTGATGCATAGAAATACTACTGGTTTTTGTACATTGGTTTTGTGTCCTAAAACTTTACTTGCTTATCCATTTCAGGAGGCTTTTCAAGTTTTCTCCAAAAGGAGTTTTGGAAAGACTTTAGCATTGTCTACGTAGTGACTCATAATGCAAATGGAGAAAGAGAATTCATTTTTTTTTTCTATTTGTATGCCTTTTTCTTTTCTATTGGCTGATTGCTGTGGATAGGACTTTTAAATCTAATTAAATTGTATTTGTTAGATTTTTGTATATTTTAATATGTCTCCAATTAATTTTATATCTGTATAATGTCCCCTTATAAAGGAATATGTAGCTGTTTTATTTAGTTATTTTATTACTGATGCACATTTGAGTTTTTTTCAGTTTGGAAAAGTACCAAATAATGCTGCTTAGAGCATTTGTCTGCATTGGAAAATATGCTGGCATTTCTATTGGGTGTATATACCTAGTAGCAGAGTTGCTGGGTCCTAGAGTGTGCTTATGTACATCGTGTATGTAAGGAGTTACTACTCAAGAGGTTTTGAATGCCGTTATAACAGTTTGCACACAGAATGGTATAAGAAAGTTCCAGTTGCTTGACATCATCACTAGTACTTAATTTTGTCAGTTTTCAAAAATGTGAATGATTGCATAGTGGCATTCAATTGTAGTTTTCATATGCATTGTTCTGATGCATAAGGATGTGGATATGTTCATCTACTTGTTGGCCCTTCGGTTCTGTATGTGGAACTCCTAGTCACATGTTTGTCAATTTTGTTCAATGTATTGCATCTTTGTTTATTAATTGATGGGATTTAGTTAAATAAACTAGATAAAAGGCTTTTGCCACATCAATATATGACAAATGTTGATTTCCACTTTGTTCTTGCCTTTCAGCTCTCCTGAAGGTTTTTTTTATGAAGAGAAGGTTTTAATTGTAATAAAGTCCAATTTGTCATATTTTTGTCTTGAGAATTAATGCATTTTGTGTCCCAAGAAATCTGGGCCTGTGCCAGTCATGGACATATTTATCTATGTTATCTACTAGAAATATTGCTTTCAGCTTTGACCTTAAAATTTAAAATCCACTTTTCATTGGAATTTGTTAATAATATAAGATAGGAGTGTTTTTTCTCACATAAATAACTGGTTGACTCAAGGCTATTTACCGAGAAGACTGTCTTCACTCCTCTTCTGTGCCTGTTTTGTAATATACAAAATGTCCAAATGTGTGAGTCTGAGTTGGACTCTCGAGTTTTTCTAGTTTTCTTTGTGCCTATTTTTGCATTACTACCATAGATAGCTTTTATTACTATAGCTTTAATCTAAGTCTGAATATATGTCATTTTAAGCTCACAAACTTTGTTATTCTTCAGGACAGTTTTTACATTTCTTCGATTTTTTATATGTATTTAAATTTTTTAAACTGATTAGACAGTTTCCACAAGATTTCTGCCAAAATATTGTATTGTGAAAATGGAAATCTATGAATCAATTTAGGGAGAAGTTACATAGAAACAAAGCAAAACAAAACACTAATAACATCCAAAACAAACTTAAAGAGAACACCACAATAAGAAAAGAAATTCCCAAATTGGAATAAATATTTACAACTCATGAAATTACAAATGGGCTCGCATTTCCATAAAGGGCACTCTCTCTCTCCCTCTCTCTCTCTCTTTTTTTTTTTTCCACAGAGACTCACTCTGTCACCCTGTCTTGAGTGCAGACGTGCAATCTCGGCTCACTGCAACCTCTGCCTCCCAAGTTTCAGCAATTCTTCTGTCTCAGCCTCCTGAGTAGCTGGGGCTACAGGCTTGTGCCACCATTCCCGGCTAATTTTTTGTAATTTTAGTAGAGACGGGGTTTCACCAGGTTGGCCAGGCTGGTTTTTAACTCCTGACCTCAAATGATCCGCCCGCCTCAGCCTCTCAAGTGTTGAAATTACAGATGTGAGGCACCACAGCTGACCTGTAAAGACCTCTTAAAAATTAGTTAAAAAACAAACAAAACAGAAAAAGAGAAAGAAGAAACAGCCACTCAGTTAAAAGAAAAAGATAAAGAAAAAGAAAAAGAAAAGAAAAGAAAAAAAGGCAAAAGACATTATTTTACAGGTCTAGTGCCCTGTGCCCCTCACTGTAATGGGGGTGGATATGGGCTTCACAGGACATGAAATTCATCAAACAGTTGCTGGTTGAAGGAGGGAAAATCTTGCGGGACCAGCCTCCAGAACAGAGCCTGTGGTGCACTGTTTCATCCCGTAGCCCTGGTAAGAAAACCTGGCTGTGCCGTGCTTTATGTTCACCTGCATTTGCCCTGTTCAGAGGCCTGAGCTACCGTGGACACAAAAGTCTGCTCAAACTCTCCCCATCCCAATATTCTATCTGGTATTGAGCATGACACCCTGTCTTCACTGAGCATGTGTTTATGCAGTTTTGTGACCACCTATCCATTTTACAACAGGAAGACTGAGGCCCCCAAAAAAGGCAAAGACTGGTCCATATCCCAGAAATTGGGAAGAGCACAGAGTATTAGGGAGGGATCCAGCTTCCAAGGCCTTGCATGCACCCCACCCATCAGGTTTGCTTTGGAAATGAGTGCTCTTAAGTCCTGGAAAACCCTGTGGTCTACTTTCTACCTGGGCTTTCTACCCTTCCTTATTCTCACATAGGTGTGCAGCCATGAACACACAAACACACCACACACACACACACACACACACAGGCTTCTAAGGTGGAGATCATGGAGGTGAGGTTAGAGAAGAGGAAACCAGAGAAGTGACAAAACGGGAAGAAATAGAAGAGGCAGCTTTGCCATGAGGCAGAGGCATCCACTCCCCCAGCTACATGACCAGGAGCTGACAGCATGTGATGAAGGATCCTCCAGGTTCCCTGGGTTCTTCCAGGCCTGGGGATCTTCCCAGCTGTTTCAAGAGGACAGGACAGGGGTTGTGACTCCCACCTCTATGGGCACCTGGAACTAAAATGAGCTATGCCCTCCCCCAACCACCCCATGTGATATAAAGTGAGGCTACGGGAAAGAAAACCTTCGTTTTCTCTCTCATAAATAGGGGTACTCAAAAGGAATAATACCAAGAATTCTAGATACTCATAAGTGTCTGCTCCCCTTGGCTCTTCATTGGTAACTCACTGTGCTTTGAGACTCTGGGAAGAGGCTTTTCAGGTTCTAGAGGTCCTTCAGAGAAGAGAGAGGCCTAGAGATGTGGGCAGATGAGGACTTGGAATAAAGCAGAATGTGACAATGCACTGGGCTCTGGAGTGTGGGGCCCAGAAAAAATACTAGATTTTTGGGCTGTCCTTGAGGTCCTCATTCAGAAGTGGAAGAAAATAATGTCTCTGAATGCTGTTAAAGTGTTTAATGAGTGCACAGCACACTCAAAGAGGCTGAGGAAAATAGGAATCAAGGGAGGTTTCCGAGGTTACTTTTATGGCCCTTGGAGTCTTCAGATACTGCTCCTTTTCCCAGGGGTCCTTGAATAGCCACTGCCTTGAGAATTCCCCAATGCAGGTGCCTGTTTTGTGATGCTTCCACCTGGGACTTCAGGGCTAGTGGAGGCCTCTAGGTGGCGGCAGACCCCGTGTTTCTTATGCCCGCTGGGCTTTACTGGAGCAGCTGGAGCCGGGGGAGAGACAGGCTGAGGTCCTGCAGCTCCTGTTATCATTCATGATCTCCACATTATTGGGTGGCCAAAAGTGGGAAGAAGGGCTTTGTGATTTTCCATGTTATTTTACTCAGCGACTCTTCCCCTAGCACTCACCATGTGGCAGCTACCTTGGTAGGTTCACCTTATGGTACCAAAAATGATTATGTTATCCCTGCCTCCCCGCGGGGAGCCCACAGTCTGAGGACGGCAGGACAAAAACACTAAAGCAAGTACATGTGAAAGAAAAGAGCATTTTATAATGGAAATAAAGTAGAATGTTGGGAGGGAGGGCTGGGGAGAGGTTGCCTGGAGGGGACATGAATGCCTCCCTGAGGTGACATTATGTTGTGACCAGAATGACAACAGAGAGCCAGTCCTGCGCAGGTGTGCAAAGTGTGTCAGGGAAAAGCCACTCTTTGTGAAGAGACTCACAGGCACAGGTGAGTTCAGCAGAGGAGGTTATAACGGGACAATTGTGGCGGCAGGCAGCCTGAGAAAGAAAGGAAAAGAGGGGAGGGAGGATCCTGGGGACTGAAAGAGGAGATTAGTCATTTGCCCCTCTCTGACAAAATTTCCCTGAATTTTAGCACATGTTGACAACAAATACTATCTCACAACTTTTGTGAACCAGAATCTCGATATAGCTTAGTTGGGTGCCTCTGCCTCAAGGTCTCTTACGAGGCTGGGGCTGTGATTTCAACTGAAGCTGGATTTGAGGAGAGATCAGCCTTCTATCTGCCTCATGGAAACTGGCACGATTCAGTGTGAACTGAGAGCCCGAGTTCCTTCCTCTCGATTGGCCTGGGCATCTCCTCAGTTCTCTATCATGTGGGTCTGTGCCTAGAGCATCTTAGGACACTGCAGATCACTTCCTCATCTTGAGGATTACAATACAGAGATGAAAAATGAAAGAGATAGACAGACATATGCAGAGAAAAAGAGAGAAAGGGAGACAGAGAGATTGAGAGAGGACACACAGGACAGAGCAAGTAAGAGGAAAATAATAGCTGTTTTAGAAATATAACTTTGGAAGTTGCAGAAGACTATGTGATTCCCCACCATGTTCACATACCAGAACCTTAATCCCCAGTGTAATGGCCTTAGCAGGTCAGAGGTAATTAAGTCCGAAGCATGAGGACCTCATGATAGCGATTACGGGCTTTGTAAAAGAAACCGCAGAAGGCTGTCTCTCCCTCTCTCTGCTAAATGAGAAAACAACCTGAAGTCTGGAGTTTGAAACTCAGAAGAGAGTCCTTACCAGACCCCAACCATGCTGGAAGCCCAATCTCAAATTTCTGGCCTCTAGAACTAATGTTTTTTATTTATAAGTTGCCTAGTCTATGTTTTTTGGTATAGAAGTCTGAACTAAGTCAGAAGTGATAACCTATCACATTTGTTGTTTTCCCTTTGACAGAAACTAGAACCAGGTCCCCAAAGAGTTCATCCAATGACTAACAGAAATTCTTCAGTTTGCAGAATGACAGATAAGAAAAGATACAACTTGTTGAAAGAATGAAATTTATTCCACTTATGAGACTTCTAAAAAGTGGCTAAAATTGGTCGGAACCAATATGGTCAACTGGAGTCTGTGTGAAATAAGCTCACTGATGTCAGAGCCCAAATTTCCATCACATGTTTTGTACTAACTGTCCCCAAATTTGCACATGTGATCTGTGTGTAGCAAGAAAAAATAGTTGTTCATGCCCAGTGATTTTCCATACATTTTTCCTTTAAGCAATTCCGTACTAATCCAGAACCTACCTCCTAAACCTTTCTGAGAATATTACTACCTTTAAGTAAGCACAGGGAAACAGACTTGAGCTGGAATCCCATCTCTCTGTTAGAAACCCGGTGTTATAGTACCTGCTTCTGAGGCACTGAGAGGTGAGCTGCGTTTTAAAATAACAGAGTCACTCACAACTTAGTGTTGTTGTGAGACTTTGTTGGGGGTGCCCACCACATAGGCTGAGATGAGGCATATACATATGATTCTAAATATAATGCACAGCACTGGAATATTTAATGCCAGAAGACAGTATCTGATTTTCTTTTAATTTCAACCTCTTCTGCTGTGGAATGGAAAATTAAGGCCATATATATAAAATATATATCTTTTATGTATAAAGATACATAAACTATGTATCTTTTATATATAAAGATATATATGTATAAGTTTATATATTATATATAGTTATATATAATTGATATATATATAGTTATATATAATATATAAATAAAAATATTTATATACATTATATATATATATATTTTTTGAGACACAGTCTCGCTCTGTCACCCAGGCTGGAGTGCAGTGGCAGGATCATGGCTCAATGTAATCTCTGCTTCCTGGGCTCAAGTGATTCTTACACCTCAGCCTCCTGAGTGGCTGGGATTACAGGCATGCATCAACACATCTGGCTAATTTTTGGATTTTTCGTAGAGAAGGGTTTTTGCCATGCTGGCCATGGCTGGTTTCAAACCCCTGGCCTTAAGTGTTCCAGCTGCCTTGGTCTACCAATCTGCTAAGATTACAGCAAGAGCCACTGCATCCAACCGATTTTGATTCATTCTATCTCATATATCACCAAAGACTGTTTTTGGAAGTTGATGTTAGCATAATCCCATTATGCATACTTCAGGGCTGGGGAGACCTGAAGCACACAGTCATTTTCATATGGTCACAGAAATGAAAAGGAAAAGAAGATTTTAACCCAACTCTGTTCTCTCAAACCTGGGGCCCTGGCTGCATTTAGAACTTTTTGGGAATTAAGGGACATAATTGTGTTTGCATAACTGTTTACAGGTAAAGAGTTGACATGGGAGAGGAGGGTGAGCAATCAGCAGCCCAGCAGGGACTTTGCGTAGATTTATGGAGGAAAAGGGCTCAGGGGATAAAACCTTGAAGAAGTTAACAGACTTCCCTTGTGACAAAACCTAACAGAATTTAGAACTTTGGGAACCAGAAACCCACATTCTAGAGACAGCCCTGTATCTAGCTAACTTCTTGGGAGATGCTTGAGAGGGCACTGTGTTCTCATTGTGTTATATTCCCAAGCTGTTGCCTGAGAAAGGCTCAAAGTGAGAGCCTTTTCTGACAGTATACATACTGGCTCAGCCTACATCCTTGATACCACTGGCCATTCGACAAGAGGCACCCACAGGTAACACAGTTTAGCCCAGGGCAGGTCCGTCCATGCCAGGCCACCTGTGTCATCTAATCTGGGCAACCCGACCCTGCCTACCATTACCCTGTGTTGCAAGGGGAGCAGGAAAGGAGGGGGCTTTTCCTCACAGGGGCAGGTTTTAAGACACAGGAACCCTGGTGGGTCTGTCATGTTCATACCCAGGTCACGGTTGGTGGAATAAAAAGTTGTGAGTTGCGGACCAAGTACGTCTACTCAGATGTGAATCCCAAGGCCTTAAGCTGTCCTCGGGTTTCCTCATTGGCTGGGGGTCTATGCAGATACTCCTATGTTCCTGATCTAGGAAACAGAATTTCTAATGCAGATGTCACCTGGTGGTAAAAACAAAGAAGACAATTAACTTTTTTCGCTGCTGGGAACACTCTTTGTAGAGCTGCATTAAAATCAGTGAGCAGATATTTGATGGGTTCAAGTCCCCCATCTCCTTGGACAACTGGCAGGTTCACCACACCCCCCAAGCATGGCATACAATGAGTTATGTTGAGAGCAGGCACATGGGGTTCTCTACAGAGAGGGACCTGACAAAACCAGGATGGGTCCAGGATCCAGACCCAAATATGGAATTTCTCTGCGCTTTCTCCTAGGGGATTTCCATGAGTGACCCTCAGATCTACCCCCCAAAAATCTAGCCTTAACTGGTCCCAGTGGCAACTTGGTTAAGTGTAAAGTCCCTTTTTACATTCTTGTAGAAATATCAGAGAAGGCCTTTGTGTTGTTTTTACTTTACACTAGGCTGCATTTATTCATGTTACTACAGTTTGTATAGTTTTAATTATTCCCCTCTGATATCATCTGTAGCAAGCAGGTTCATGGTACTGCCAGACTTTCTCCAAGACTTGAAAGCCACCACTATCACTAATACTCTACAAAAATAGGGAAGAGTTTACATGAAAAAGGGGTTATATTGTTTCCTACATTTGTCTGCAATGTGTCATCTAAGAGAACTCATCCCAGTAGCCCATCAGGGCAGAAGTGGTGCCCTCACATCTCTTTGTAATGTTCTATAATGGGGGTCACTTCCCAGAGTGGTTTAGCCTTTCAATGGCTATTATTTCTGATCAAAATGGAATAAAACTAGAAATGAATAACAGAAGAAAACAAAAATAGCAACATATATATGGAAATTAAACAACTCACTTTTGAGCATGCTCATGTTTAAGGGTTGTAAGACTTAATATTATGAATAATGCTTATGATGTCTAAAGCGAGTTACAGATTCAATGCAATCCCTTTTAAATTAAGAACTTTTTTTTTGAAATAGAAAAAGGAACCAACAAATTATATGGAATCTCAAGCGACCATAAAGAGCCCCAAAATGTTTAAAAAAAACAATGTTAGTGACCTCACCTTTTCTGATTTCAAAGCACATTACAAAGCAACAGCAATGAAAACAGTTTGTTTCTGGCATAAACACAGACAATTTTTCCAATAAAACAGAAGGTAGCACACATGTAAACCTCACACATATGAGCAAATAGCTATTTGCATACCAATATTCATTGCAGCATTATTCAGAAATGCCAATAGGTGAAAGCAACACAAATTTTCCTCATAGAATGAATAAATAAATAAAATTTGTAATATAAAACTAATGGAATATTACTTAGCTTTTAAAGGCAGAAAATCTTGTACCATCCACAATAAAGAGGAATCTTGAGAACATAATGCTAAGTAAAATTAGTCACAATAAAACAGATACTCTATGATTCTACTTATATGTAATATCTAAAGTATTGAAACTTAGAACCAGAAAATAGAATGATTTTTATCAGGAGCCAGGTGGTAAGGACAATGGGTAGTTGTCATTTCATGTGTACTGAGTTTTAGTTTTGCAAAAGAAAAAATTTTACAAATATGTTGCTTAACAATGTAAATACACTTAACATGACTGAACTGTATAAGAAAAAATATTAAAGATTCTAAATTTTATGTTATGTATTTTTACCACAATCGAAATTAAAAATGACACCCAAGGGCCAAGAGTGATCACTCATGCCTGTAATCGCAGCACTCTGGGAGGCTGAGGCATGCAGGTTACTTGAGGCCATAAGTTCAAGACCAGCCTGGCCAACATGGTGAAACCCCAGCTTCATGAAAAATACAAAAATTAGCCAGGCGCGGTGGTGCAGAACTTTAATGCCAGCTACTCAAGAGGCAGCAGCTGGAGAATTGCTTTAACCTGGGAGGTGGAGGTTGCAGTGATCCAAGATTGTGCCACTGCACTTTGGCAACAGGGTGAGAGTCTGTCAAAAGAAAAAAAAAAAAAAAAAAAGACACCCGAAGGGAGAGAGTTACAAAGTTTCTGAAAAATTATCTTCAAATCACATAAATCTTTCCTTCACACTAAGATAATATAAACAATAGATGTTGAAATTAAGACAATTTCCATGATTACTCACTTAGACAGAATAAATTATTGGCCATCAAATAAGAAGAAAATATAAAAGTCATAAACAAAATAGGGGCAATATTTATACAGGCAAACAAACAGTTAAATCATTGTATTAACAAAAGACATAGGGATGGTTCATATTTGACTTCTGCCCCACACTGTCTTAATGCATACAGAGTTGAATATTGTTATACAATATTATATTATACAAATTAAAACTTAAAACAATAAACTAATATAAGGTGCCCTACCCTAAAACATGAAACACAGAAATGTAAAATTGCAAAACAAAGTTAAAATAAACATTAACCCCCAAATTCTTATTTGAATAATGAAATTCAAAATCATAATAAATAGGTAGAAAGTAAAAACACAATTAACTGATGTGAGACAGCCTACTCTAAAAAATACAGAAACATAAAATTATAAAACATAATTAAGAGAAACTTTAATCCATAAAATCCTGAATAAACATAGTGTCCAAATGAAAAAGAATCCCAGGTAACTACAATTTTTAACTCTTCCTGTGAATCTATGAAAAGTATGAATTTTGAATTATTTGGATACAGTTAGGGCAACAACATTTCAGAGAAAACACATTATAATTAATACAAAGAGCTGTGATGAGAAAGTTTTAAGGAATAAGCATTTAAGTAATACTAGAGAAAGTTTTAAATTATGCTACTGATGCATTGCTGCTTTTCTTACACAAAACGATAAGGCTGTAATCTAGCTTTTAATTGAAAAGTCTTACATTTCTAAATATGGTAACAATATAAATATTGTAAATACAGTATAAAACATTGACATATAAAATAAAAATTGGAAATAAATTGTACTATTAGTCAAATAAAAGTTGGGAAAACTGGAAGAAGATGCTAATAGTAACATTGTGCCTAGAGTCAATTAAACATACAAGCCAAATATTTTAATAAATTATAAATTATATAATTTATACATAATATATACATTTGAGCATGCTATTTTACAACTTCTGAAAGGAAATTACAGACAAATGTGACACATGATAATTCAGAAAGTGAAAACACAGTCATAGTAATCTTCATATTAAAGAAGACAGAATCATAAAATACTAAGTGAGAAATAAAGTAATAATTGTGAATTCAATATATGTTGAACAATATTCTAATTTCCCTTACGGAAAAAGTTTTTGTAAGAAATCAGTAAAATGAGTACATACAATAAACCATCCTACAGTAGAGGCTGTTGGCATATAGAGTTTACATTTCTATGATTAGGTCCTACTAAGAAAAAGGAAATTTTAAAATAAAATACTTAGATTTTCCTATTTAATAAGATAATTTTTGCCTATAAAGTTTTTCAGTCTAATTTTCTTGTAGAATTAGGTTTTAGCCATCGTAAAACTTGACATTATGAAGCAGAAAACAGGTGTCATCTGTCTCTGGTGTTCCTGGAATTTCTAACCCAAATGCCAATTCCTCCACAACTCCCTTCACACACTTCTGAATTGAAGCACAACAGATTTATTAAAATTGGCATAACAGCGGTCTCCAGAAATGTGCAGAGATTTTCCCAGATCCCCAAAATCAATGACAAACTATTCAGATCATTTAGGTTCTCACAAGATTCTGGGAGGACTTTGGCTTTCAGTGTGAACGCACTGGAAGATTCTAAGAGAGAGGGAGAGAGAGAGAATGTGTGTGTGTTGAAATCAGAACCCCACCTTATGTGTTTATTGTGGAAATTGAAAATGAAAGCCTAAAGTTGAAAATTAAAATCACACATGATAGCACGTTGCAAACTGTTTTCTGTGCTAGATGGGTCGTTCTAGGGTGTAGGACCCTGGAAACACCGTTTTCCCCTCCTTCCGGAAAGAGCTACTCACACTGCTCAAAGCCTGCATCCACATGTACCATGTCGAAGACCAGCTCAAGAGCCTGGACCCATATGCCACCTTCAGCAGGGTTGACTGCAGCTTCTTGTTCTTCCTGAGCATCTTCTCCAATGGTGACCTGAGAGTTGCGGGAGGCATTGGGGCCAGGATTGAACAGAGGAAAAAGGAGCACGGAGGCCAGGTGCTGAGGACCAGGCCATCTCACCTGGAGAGTTCTGGCCCTGAGACATCCAGACCAGCATGATGTTTAGGTGCAGACAGCTGGCCCTGGGTGGCCCTGTGCTGATCACCGGCCTCAGCCCCTCAAACAGTGGGAAATGGAAGAATGGCTTGGAAATGGGCCCTGTCGACAGTGTGTCACCTGAGCACATTCTCCCAGGGGCCCAAGAGGGGCCATCGTGTCTCTAGAACCAGAACTGGAAGGTGAAACTGCCAGGGGGAACAAGGAAGAGGGTCCTCAGTTGGGTGGAGGGTCTCACAGCAAGACGCCTGGCTTAATCAAGCTTGGCCATTCCTGAAGCACGTTCAGTGACTAAAAGTGCCTACCATGAGCAGCTGGAACACACTCTCTGAGAGCTGCAAGATGCATGGGGACCTCAAGTACCTGTTTGTAATTACAGCCAAGGACCAGCAGGCAGCATTGCTGCATCCACATGGGCTTTTGCTGGAACCAGTAAGTCTCTGCCAGCCCCTCCCAGGCTCCTGGGATGCCACTTGTTCTGGGTCTGTGGACAGATAACCAGGACACTTACTCAGTGAAGCCCATCGCTCAACCCCAGCCCCACCATACCCTGTCTCCTATGCCATTCCTCATCCCAGAAGGAAAGGCAATGCCTTTGTCCCACAGCCCCTGCCTTGTGTCATCTCATGTGGGGGTATGGAATGAACCCGTCAGCCTAAACTCCAGTCCTTCTGCCTGAGGAATCTGTCCCCGCTGTCTTAGTCGCCCTCTAGGGAGCTGTCAGTGGGATAAAGAGCAGCCCTGGAAGAGAGGCCCACCTTCTTCTGTTTGACTTCAGGACAGCCTTTCAGGGCAAGAACCCAGAGCAGATGGAGGCCTCACAGAAGGCTGTGGCAGGGCTCTCGGCTTGGTGGGCTAAGCATCTCCCTCTCTGATGACTGCCATGGGGCCCACAACCACTCATTCAAGAGGGTCACCACCACATTGCAGGTGTTCAGCTGGACGGTTCCCCAGGCAGAGCCTGCCATGGACTGCATACACACAGAGGATGCACACCTTGAAGTTGGACAATGAGGAGAACATTCCTGAAGAGGTGCATGCAGCCTGGCCCTGCCCTCACTGGGAACCCCCTTCCATCTGGGTACTAGACAGAATTCTGTGCACTTTTCTGGAGGCTCCATGCTGGTCTGTTCATTTGGAAGTTTGATGCTGTCCGTGAGGAAGTAACAAAAGAGATATCTCAGAGCAGGTTGTGGGGCACAGGCTGAGAGATTTTCTCCCTCCCTAGTCCCTCTGCAGACACGGGGCTGGAACAAGAACCTGTGGATAATGAGGGAACTTCTCTTCGAGAACCGGCCTGAGCAGCTGCTTCAAGAAAGAGCCACATTAAAGTGCCTATAGCCCCTGATGAGGGAATGGTAGCCTCAGGCCCGCCTGCCATGTGTGAGCAGGTTTTCTTGCTATCAGGATGAAAGCAAAGAAAGCTGGAATGAGCCCAGCCCTCTCAGGCACCTTGAAGACTGTTGGGGTTCCTTCCAGCCCTTCTAGCCTTATGCTTTTTGGCAGGCCACTCAGGCACCTTTTTCCAGCCTCTGAGACTTCCATGCTCTGGAAGGAGAGGGTCCCACTTTTCACTAGGCTATGGGGCCAGGCCCATCCAGCTCCCGGCTTCCACTAACAACCATGGGGCTCTCACCTGGGCACACACTGCCCAAACATGGACCTTCTAAGGCAGAAGATCATGTGTCTTGCAGTTCCAGCTTTCTAGGGCTTAAAAGTTATCAGTGCTGTTATTAAGATAGGGAAGTGAGAAAGGAAAACTTGCTGTAAAAGTTTCCCATAATCTTACCACGGAGATCATCAGCACAGATGACAGCACAGGTAGGGCTGCTGGGGAGGCTGAAGGAGAGTGTCCAGCCTGTTCTGCCAGCTGGTCCTTGCCAGGGGTGTCTCGTGACCCAGTCCCTTAGAGAAGCATGCAGATATCTCAGCAAGTATCTGGAAGGTGCAGATCAGGGCAACCCAGCACTACTGATGGTGGAGTGGGCCTACCTCCCATCAAGCTGTGTCTCCACAGCTGACCCTTGTAACCAGGAGGTGTTTTACAACATGTGCAAGGCAGTGAGCTCCATCAGCTGTGTGGCATTCAACACTCACTTCAACTCGGACATCTCACCAGAAAGCAGTGGGGACTGGCCAATGCAGAAGCCTGCAAAGTGGAACAGAGCGTCATGGGGTGGGGGATGTGGGGCCTGCCTGCTCATCTGAGCACTGCTCCCTGAGGGTGTGATCTGCAGGCTTCCTGAAGGAGGGCTGTGAGCTCTTCTGCGAGGCCCTGAGCCTGTGGAACATAGCTGAGGCCAAGCCCATGGGGATTTGTGTCTACTTGCACCTCCTTGCTCATCTCAGTACACTACAGGTGACTGTGCCGAGGTGGGCCTTGAGCATCCCCTGGGCTGTGTCAGCAAATGGCTCTGGGCCTGGCCTGGCATTGAGGGATGGCAAAAAAGGAGCCTGGGGTTGCATTGTCATCCCCTATGGTAGCATAAAATGAGAGAGTCCAGACCTGCAGGACTGGAACCCTAACAAAGGGGTTAGGAGACTGCTCACTTTCCCTCAGGAACCCATGTGGAGGAGCTGAGGGAGGTTAAGGAGACCCTAGGGACTCACTTGTTCTGTCTGGGCTTCCCCCTGCTCCATCGTTTGATGACCATTTTCTGGGAAGAGCTCAGGAACCTCCTGTGCTCTAGTGAGACGGGGCCTCCCCTCACAGGGTATTCTGAGACTGTGAGTGAGAAGCTAACACAGTGCCTTGCAATACTCATGGGAGCTGTCATCCTCTGTGACCATCACGTGGCCTTGTAGTGTTCAGACTGCCTGGCCTGCCTGGGGTTTGGTGAGGCTGTTTTGTGGTCAGGTGCTTTAGAAGCTCACTTTCTCTGCAATCAAACAGTGACTGTTTTCATGTCTGTTTATGGGTTTAAAAAATCCTAATATTTCCTTTATAGTAGTTCACCTTGTATGTGTTTATTTGTATAAATTTTATTAGAGTAAAGAGAGCTTAAGACAATAGCATTTTAAGGTCTTAATGAGGCATAGACTTTCATGTCACAACAGCTAATGTTGACCTCCTTTTGCTGCCTTTGTGTAAATTACACATAAAAAGTGCAGCCAGAGGTGACTAGAGCTGAGCTGCTTGGGCTTGCTTGCTGGCCTGCAGTCAGGTGGACTCTGGCTGTGAGGCAGTGCCCACCCTGGATCTACATCCCCCACCCCCTCTCCTTAGTCCCTGAGTAACCAACAAGGCCGTGCTAATGAGAGGGCGAGTGATGGGCATCGGGCACCCCCATATTATCCGGGAAGATTTGAATGCCATCTGGGCTGGAGCTGTTGGGATTAGGGGCTGAGGCTGTCTTGGCTTGTCATGGTGCCACCCACAGATGTGCCTGCCCTGTGCTGCTTCTCCAGAAGCCGGCTGCCCATGGCCCTGAGCCTGTCACACCATGCTTGCTACCTCATGCTGCTTGTGTTTGAAAAACCCATCCCGAGATGACGCTGCTGGATGTAAGTCCTGAAAAGGGGGCATCACCTTTGTCCTGGGGGATTAGGAGCTGACCAGATTCCTCTTGACTCCCTCCCAGAACAAGTGGGGCAGGTGCTGCAATTAATGTTGCCCCCTAGAAGATGTGTTTGCACTGGCTGAGCAAATATACGATGCAGAGACCTAAATGAAGACACGTGAATGGGGTGTGTGGACATCAGTTAGTAGCTGGGAAACAGGTGCCTCTCAGGCGTCTCGTGTTCCAGCAAGTGTGGAATATGCCTGTGCCCATGAGTGTAGACATCTGAAGTGTATACATTTGGCTGCTGCTTTTGCTGCCACTATTCCCAGGCCCAACCTGGCTTAAAGTCCAGGTTTTAAGTAAAAAGTAGGAGGCTTTTTGCCATACAGCTACTTGAGAGGCTGAGGTGAAAGCATCACTGGAGCCTAAGAGATTGAGGCTGCAGTGACCCATGATTCAGCCACTGCACTGACACAGTGAGACCTGCGTGTGCCCTTCTACAGAGAATAGCTCTGGGGCATTTGGGGATCCCTACAGTCCCGGACCCTCCCTGTCCCCTGCTGCCTGTGCTCCTTTCCTTGCCTGCTGTCAGAGCCTAACATGGAGGCGGTTGCCACCCTGTGAGCCTGAGGGAGCTGTGTCTGACTGGAACTTCTGTCTGAGGTTTTGCGAAGTCTTACTTATGAATATGGTCTGTCCAGATACCTTGTTTCAAAGGAAGTGAGCATGAGCTAGCAAGTGTAGCCACCCCACAGCTGATAAACAACTTTGTCTTGTTTTTAAATCATCAATCTTCATTTCACATTGGAATAAAGTAAGTGAAACCTGCTACCCGAGCCTCGCCCGTGTGTTCTGTAACCCAGACTCATGTGGTTGTGTGGGCTGTTGTCAGAAATGTTATAAAAAGGTTATGCATAAATTAGATCAAATATAAAATTATGCTTATAATGTCACTTGAGTGGGAGGTAAGAGGGTAGAGTCACAGGAAATCTGTTGGGGTTTACACCCCTGCTACTTACCAAGCTCATGAGAGTGTGGCACTGGTGACCATCACCTGACATTGGTGACAGAAGAGAAAAGGTCGAAGTGAAGGCCAGGTAGGAGAGAGGTGCCAGGCTGTGGGGCCAGGCCCTGCGCATGCTGGGCCTGTTAGGTCACTGAACATCTAACTACCCGGGAACCAGCTCTTTTCACATCATTTGAGGTAAGACGATGGGGGAGCACTCTCCAGAAGTCACACTGCGCTGGGAGAATGGAGGAGAGTCTACATACCGCCATCTTAGGGTAGGTTTTAGATTGAGCTGAACTGTCTTGGAGAGCTAATGAGATGGGAGGAAGACAGTCCCCCAGGTGCACCTAACAGCCAGAGCCTATGAAGTTAGGGGGGTTGTGTGGGGGTGGCCTTTCCCTATAAGAGGAGGAGCTTAAAGCTCTTAAAGCTGGTGGCTGCTGCTCTGCCATCCCTCTACAGAGCAGTCAAGTCCTCAGCTGCAAGAATATCTGAATGTCTTTTGGAGTGTTAGAGTCCTCTGTGTCTTAGAAATTTTGAAAAGAAAAACAAATCTCAATATTAATGTTGATTAGTTTCTCTGAGCCAATTGGGGAAAATAAACGTCCTTCACCTCAAAGGTTTAAGTGACACCGAAGGGTAGCCACCAGTGTCTCGGCCACTGAAGCCTCATGCATGCTCTCACTACCAGTTTGATTTGCAGCCCCATAGTTGTGTTGTACTAAATATTCTTTCCTCTGGCCTTGTCCAGTGAACACGGTTCACATGGCTAACACCACTTCTTGAGATGCGAGCACCATGCAAAGCTGAGAACGGATTGGGTTTTGTGACCATTGTGCCTCCTCCTCACCTGAGAGGCCCATTTTTCCTGGTTGATTCATTAAGTGTATTGGTGCTGTCAGTCGCCTCTGGACAATTGAAATGACAAGTGGCTGTTGATTCATAAAGAAAATGAAGGCTTTAGATGTGAAACCCTCGTTTTCTCTTGTCCTTCTCTTAGGTGAAAGATTTTATTTTTTTCAAAAGGCTACATACTGGTATCCCAGCAGGTGTAGTGTGAGAACTGGCATATGTTAGGCTATGGTGTCAGTGTGGATGGGCAATTCTTCAAGATGGAAAACCAAGTCTCACTGAGTTGCTGGAGCCACACTGACCTTTCTCCACATCCCCCACCATGGGCTTTCACTTTTATCCTGTGCTTGAATTTTTTTCACATACAAATTCTTTATACACACACACAGACACACACACACATATCTCACTCTGTCAATGCAGTGGCTGAATCATGGGTCACTGCATCTTCAAATTCTTAGGCTCCAGTGATGCTTTCAAATCAGCCTCTCAAGTAGCTGGGACTACAGGCATGCAAAGCTACACCCAGACAATTTTTAAATATTTTTCTAGAGACTGAGCCTACTTATGTTGCTCAGACTCGTCTTGCACTCCTGGGATCAAACGATAATCCCACCTTGACCACCCAAAGTGTTTAGATTACAGGTGTGAGCTAGCACTCTCAGCAAAAATATATTTTAAAGAACCGTTACAACCAAATTATGAGTTATCATTATGCCACTGCCCTCCACCCTGGGCACCAGAACAAGACCTTGTATCCAAAAACTAAGCAAAACTAAACAAGAACAAAAAAAAAAAAACTTATAAATAAACTTTGAAGATTGTGTCATCTGTGTCCTTCCCTGCCCTCCAAGCTATCAATGTTAAATATAATGGTTATTGAGAAAATGGTTAGATATTATTAAGAAATTTCTATATATCTTCCAGCTGAGAATAGGTATTCTGTTGTGGCCCAAATATTTTCTCACCGCTACCTTCAGGGTCTAAACTAGCAAATCAGGACACCTGCAGAGGACAGTTGGCCGTTTTCAAATAGAAAGAGAAATACCCCCGTTCATGAGAGTAATCCAGTGATTTTCAAAAAGACAAGTCAGACTGACATGCAGCGCAGTCAGGCCACAATTACCCTGGAATAATCACTTCACACAGAATGGTTGAGGAGACTTTCTAAGATGAGCAAATTTGGGCAGCATAATCCTTGCTTATTTATTCCCAGCCCCCACTGCCCGCCTGATTCCTAATGGCTACCCTACAATGTGGTCAGCAGTGGGATGTAGCGTGGTGAGAGAGGGGCTCAGGGACGGGATGAAGGTCTTTCCTGCATTATCAAAATGCAGGTTAAAAAGTTGTTAAAAAGATGTCCAAATGTTCTAATTCCTACTGTTAAATAGCTGCTAAGATGCATTATACAACAGACCCAGGTAAGGGAAGGAGCATGTGCATTTCAAGTCTCAGCTCACTTCTTAATTAGCTGTGATACTCTGGGCAGGTGACCCCAACTATACGAGCCTGTGTGCCTGTCAACCCAAAACAATCCTAAGCAAAAACACCAAAGCTTGGGGCATCTTGCTACCCGACTTCAAACTATACTACAAGGCTGCAGTAACCAAAACAGCACAGTACTAATACCAAAACAGATATATAGACCAATGGAACAGAACAGAGGCCTCAGTAATAACATCACACATCTACAACCATCTGATCTCTAACAAACCTGACAAAAACAAGCAATGGAGAAAGATTTACTACTTACCAAATGGTGCTGAAAGAACTGGCTAGCCACATTCAGAAAACAGAAACTGGACCCCTTCTTTACATCTTATACAAACATTATCTCAAGATGGATTAAAGTCTTAAATATAAAACACCAAACCACAAAAACCCTAGAAGAAAACCTAGGCAATACCATTCAGGACATAGGCATGAGCAAAGACTTCAGGAATAAAATACCAAAAGCAATCACAACAAAAGCTAAAATTGACAAATGAGATCTAATTAAACTAACGAGCTTCTGCACAGCAAAAGAATCTATCATCAGAGTGACCAGGCAACCTACAGAATGACAGAAAATTTTTGCAATCTATCCATGTGTCAGAGGTCTAATATCCAGAATCTACAAGGAACTTAATTTCACACACACACAAAAAAAAAACATCAAAAAGTGAGTAAAGAATATGAACAGACTATTCTCAAAAGAAGACATTTGGCTGGGCGTGGTTGATCAAGCCTGTAATCCCAGCACTTTCAGCCATGGAGGCAGGTGGATCATGAGGTCAGGTGTTCAAGACTAGCCTGGGCAACATGGTGAAACCATGTCTCTACTAAAAACACAAAAAATTAGCATGGTGTTTTGGCGGGTGGCTGTGATTCCAGCTTCTTGGGAGGATAAGGCAGGAGAATCACTTGAACCTGGGTGGCAGATGTTGCAGTGAGCTGAGATCCTGCCACTGCACTCCAGCCTGGGTGACAGAGCTAGACTCCGTCTTTAAAATAATAATAAATAAAATAAATAAAAAGAAAAGGAAGAAGGAGAAGAAGAAGAGGAAGAAGAAGAAGAAGAAGAAGAAGAAGAAGAAGAAGAAGAAGAAGAAGAAGAAGAAGAAGAAGAAGAAGACATTTATGTGGTCAACAAACACACAAAAAGGAAAAAGAAAAAAGCTCATCATCACTGATGATTAGAGAAATGCAAATCAAAACCACAATGGGATACCATCTCACACCATTTGGAATGGCAGTTATTAAAATGTCAGGAACAACAGATGCTGATGAGGCTATGGAGAAATAGAAACGCTTTTACACTGCTGGGGGCGGGAGTGTAAATTACTTCAACCATTATGGAAGACAGTGTGGTGATTCCCTAAGTATCTAGAACCAGAAATACCATTTGACCCAGCAATCTCATTACTGGTTATATACCCAAAGGAATATAAATCATTCTAGCATAAAGACACATGCACTCATATATCTATTGCAGCACTGTTTACAATAACAAAGACTTGGAACCAACCTAATGCCCATCATTGATAGACTGGAAAAAGAAAATGTGGCACATATACACCATGAAATAATATTCAGCCATAAAAAGAATGAGTTCATGTCCTTTGCAGGGACGTGAATGACACTGGAAACCATTCTCTTCAGCAAACTAACACGGGAACAGGAAACAGAACACCATATGTTCTCACTCATATGTGGGAGTTGAACAATGAGAACACATGGACACCGGGAACAAAACATCACACACTGGGGCCTGTTAGGGTGTTGAGGTCAAGGGGAGGGAGAAAATTAGGACAAATACCTAATGCATATGGGGCTTAAATCCTAGACGTCAGGTTGATAGAAGCAGCAAACCACCATGGCACATGTAAACCTATGTAACAAACCTGCACGTTCTGCACATGTATTCCAGAACTTAAAGTAAAACAAACTAACAAAAATGCACTAAGGCTGAGGGGGAGTGGGGGTAGGGGCAGGAGTCAGGCGGGGGTGGGTGAGTCCTGGAGTTTTATCCAGTCATTGACACTGATGTGGGAACAGCCCAATCAGGCGCGCAGTTGGAGAGGACAGGAGAGGAGGGCGTGGCTTCTGGCGTTTGGCGGGTCTTTGTCTCTTGCTGGCGCTGGCACAGGAACTTGGGATCCGTCTCCTCTTTCGCCTCCTCCGCTTTGGGAGCCCCGGGCTACTCTTTCACAGCCCCTGTTGCCCTGTGATCTGTAGGTCCTTGGGGACGCACAGTTAAGATGACAGGACATCCTGGAAGCTGGGAAATGGTGAGTATACGGGGTTCGGCATCCCGAGAGGGGACAGCAGGCTGTGAAACCGGCAGGACCGGCCCCCACGGTTAGCTCCGAGTCTCCCGCAGCTTGGCCCTCAGTCCCCTGTGGCTGCAAGATGGCCGCTGGGCCAGCATCGAGGACCCCCACATCCGGCCTGGCCCATCCGGTGCTGTCCCTGGGCAGCGCCCTGCTCTGCGCCCACAGCCATGAGTATTTCCCAGATTGTTCAGGGAGGCCTGGTGGGTCATCAGGGAAAAACTGCCACTGGGTGTTTGCGTGGGAGGAGCTGCGGCCCGTGGGGTCCCCAGTCTCTCTTGTTAAAAATTAACGGGAGTCTATGTTAAAACGTTAACCAGTTTATCTGAACAAACAGTGATTGGTGAAATGGAAAGCACCCAGCCATGATTTCTGGTCCACCAGAGGGGCATAAAGGAAAGGCTTTCATAAGATGCATGAGAAAGCAGCCCAAATTCAAAAATTGGTTCCAGTTATGTAGTCACCTTATTTGAACTATCCAGATGGAAATGTCCTGGTTACATATTCAGAGGTTAATTGCATGTTTGCCATTGGTTAAACGTGCATTTTGTTTCAGGCTAAGATAATGCTTTATAGGAAATGTATTTGAGTTAGGTTTTAGTTTTTGTTTTTTTTTTTTTAACCTATGAACCCAGGACACTAGAGCCACTTTAGTCTAATTTTCTGCTCTTTAATTATTTTAACACTCCAGAGGAGGACTGGTTTTCTCCTGTGTTTTTTTAATATATGGCAAGTGGAACCTCTAATCGACCACCCTGTTTTTCAGCCTAACTCAGGCTTGTGGTAAAATTATCAGTTCCCACTTTCTTTGCTGCATTCTCAAATGCAACACAGGAGAACAGCTTTCCCTTGCAAATTCACAATGCTGTTAACTATTTGTCCTTTATTATACATTTCATTAAAGTTTTCTATTATTGGATTTCTTTCTACTTCTCCCTACAGTTCTGCCCATATTTGCTTTTTATATTTAGAAGCCTCCCTTTTGGGTGCATAAATATATATAGCTATATTCACTTGACAAATTAACCTCTATTATTATTGTATGGTAAACTCATTTCATGCTTGTGAGAGACATTGCTAGAAAGTCTATTTTGTCTAATTTAAGCATAACTACCATTGAACTCCTTTGGCTATTATTTGCATGGAATATCATTTTCTATCCTTTCACTTTTAGCCTATGCTCTTAATTCATAATTGAGTCTCTTGTAAGCAGCATATTACGAGGTTTAAAAGTTTCATTTATCCACTCTGTCTGCTTTAGTCTCTTTTGGCTGTTATAACAGAATATCACAGACTGGTAATTAATAAAGAACAGAATTTTATTTGACTCATGATTCTGGAGGCTGGGAAGGTAAAAGAACATGTTACTGGTATCTGTTGAAGGTCTAGTTGCTGGATAATAACATGGCCAAAGATGTGAGGGAGAGACAGCTTTTTTTTTTTTAATATATAACAGATCCATTCTTGTTAAAATTAGCCCATTCCCATAATAAGAACATTAATCCATTCATGAGGGCAGAGTGCTTATAGCTTAATTAATTTTTAAAGGTTCCACCTCTTAATTCTTTCACATTGGCCATTTTATCCTAAATTTTGGAGATGACATTCAGTCTACAGAAGTATCTGTTTAGTAGATAATTTAATCTTTTTATTTGTAAGGTAGTGATAGGTAAGCAGTT
Source organism: Homo sapiens (assembly GCF_000001405.40). Lineage (NCBI taxonomy): Eukaryota > Metazoa > Chordata > Mammalia > Primates > Hominidae > Homo > Homo sapiens. The sequence goes on from NC_000021.9 coordinate 6,723,713, forward strand.
ACTATTGTACATTTGTAGTTTTCTGTCCATTTTAAGTTTGCTTCTTTTTTTTCTGGTTCTGTCTTTCCTGTGGTATTGTTCATTTTTGTTGAGACAAAGTTATGCTTTCTTGCTCAGACTGAAGTTCAGTGGCATATCACAGCTCACTGTAGCCTCAATCTCCTGGGCTCAAGCAATCCTCCCCCCTTAGCCACCCAAGTAGCTTGGACTACTTGGACATGTACCACAACACCCAAGGAGCTTATGATTCTTCCACCTTGGCCTCCAAAAGTGTTGGAATTATAAGCAGGAGCCACTGTATCCAATGTGTAATTTTTGTTGTTTGTGTATGCTTTAATTACTTTCTCTTTTTCTTTACTATGTTTTTTTTTCCCCCAGTGGTTATCATGAGACTTATGTAAAACCTCTTGTATTTTAATAGTCTAGTTTAAGATGATAACAATTTAGAGTATTCTGAATTTCAGTATGTATTTACCATTTTTAGTGACATTTATACTTTAGTATTTTTCATATTGTTAGTTAGCATTTCATCATATCAATGTGAAGATTTCTTCCAGACCTTGGCTGGAGAAGGAAAGAAGGTGTGTTTTGCCTGATTCAGGGACTATAGAGAGAACCAAGTTCTGCAGGCCTGTCACCTAAGTCTCAGATGAGTATGAATTCTTTTGTGTTTTTCACAGATTTTTGCAGTGGCAGGACCAAGTTCAAATGAGTCATAGCCAAGTTTACAGTAAGATGTGGTAGTATTCTGTTTTGAACCGAGGACCATGATTGGCAAGCTTGCCACTTGGTCAAGTGCTTACCCTCTAAAGATGTCTTCCTTGGTCTTTGCCTCCAGCTGGGTGTCACAAACTCTGAACTGGATTCTAAGGCTTTCATGAATGCACTTATGTTTCCCGTGGCAGCTGCATTATGTTGTGGGGGATGTGCATGCCGAACCTCCCATTCTGTCGTCTTGCTTATGTTACTCTCCTTTATGTTTCACTTTCTCAAATGAATGTCAAGCTGGTGATTTTTAGATTCAAAAATTCTAAAATAAATTGCTCAAATTTCCACATTATGTAAGCTATTAATAAAATGTCTTGTAGGTGCTACATATTTATTAAAATTTTTGGTTGTAATTTTAAGCTCACTGCAGGCAGAAAGGAATCATTAACATTTATATTCTTTTTTTTAGTCTGTATCTAAATGATGGTATATTTTAATTCCAGATATTTACTTTATACTGCAGTAATGCTCGTCATATTTTGCAAAATTTATGTTGTTCTTTTATTTGGAAATATAAGGCTTTTTTAGCTCTTGAAATCTATATTATAGTCATATAATTTTATTATGTTTTGTGGTAAGAAGTGCAGCAACATATTGAGAACATAATAAAATTATCCTGTATTTTTAATGATTATTTATTAAATTCCTCTCATTAGAGCCTGTTATTAATGATTGTAATGTATTTTCTGTATAATTTTACTGCAATTTATTAAATTCTAATGACTTAAATTGTCTGCTTTTCATGAGTGCACACAGTTGAATGCTGTAGATATCTAAAGAATTATTTTTCGGCCGGTTGTGGTGGCTCATGCCTGTATTCCCAGCACCTTGGGAGGCCAAGGCGGGTGGATCACGAGGTCAGGAGATCGAGACAACCCTGACTAACATGGTGAAACCCCGTCTCTACTAAATATACAAAAAATTAGCCGGGCATAGTGGCAGGCGCCTGTATCCCCAGCTACTCAGGAGGCTGAGGCAGGAGAATGGCGTGAACTCAGTGGACAGAGTTTGCAGTGAGCCGAGATCGCGCCACTGCACTCCAGCCTGGGCAACAGGGCAAGACTCTGTCTCAAAAAAAAAAATAAAAAAAAAAACGGTTATTTTCCATTGTAAATCTATGTTGTATTCAGGATTTTATGCACGAAAATCTCTCTTCTTATTTTCAAGTCCGTGTTATTGTGTTTCTTTTCTTGGGAGTTATGTTTTCTCAGATCAGTTAAATGTATTTTTATTTTAAAGCTTGATATCATCAGTTGAAAGATAATTTTTAGCTCGGTACACTTTATCTCAATGTGATGTTTAATATATGTGTGAATTAGCTGTGTTTGTTGCTTATAGATATATCTGTATGTTTTTCACTTATGTAAGTATGACATCTTTTTCCTTGTTTTTTTGTTTTTTTCTTTTCAGTTTCAGATAGGCTTTTTTTTTTTTTAAGAGAATTTTAAAACAGAGTCGAAAGAAGAGAAATCAGTTATTTGTCCTCTTGCAGGGTGGGGAGACAACTTCCTTCCCCACAGGTTTGAGGCTATGCCTAAGTGGTGAGTCTTGAGGAGATGCAGAAAGGATCCATCCCAGGCACTTGGCTGGACTTAAGTAAGCATAGCCTTTAGGCCACAAGACCTGATGGTTTGGGTACTGGTCTGGACATAAGTCCCCATCTTCCCAGAAATATCATCTTTTGTCTGCAACAACTGGCTGGAGAAATATTTCAGAAAGATGTGTGTCTGGAACACCCAAAGACATACTTTTCCTTTCTCCTTGGCATAGGCCTTGCAGCACTGAAGAAAGACCAGGTTTGCAATGGAGCCTTCAACAGTCTTCATCCCTATGGAACTCAGGGTCTCATAGGGTGACAGGAGAGGAGACAAAGCTAACTTGGGAAGAGTCTCTGTCCTTCAGCTTCTCCCCTACTGAAACACTATATATTGGGCCCACAGTTCATCACAAAACACACATGCTCTCTTTCTTTCTCTCACACCCAATCTTGGGAACCCAAAAACTTGATGGCAGGTAGCTCTGGGTATCCTTGGTCTGGCATTCACCCACTGGGAATCTAAGCTGTCCTAAAGCTCTTTTCAATCACTTCTCACTGTTTCCAGGCCCATGTGGGTAGGTGTTCCAGGCTTCATTCTTTCAGGCTGATCATAAAGGCACAGTGTGGGAAAATCCCCTACTGTGATGGCCATTGCTGGGAAGCAGGAAAGGCTAAGGGCCCACTGCTGCCCAAGGCTAGTATAGATGCCCTCTGCTCCACTCATGTCCTCAAAGACTGATATCAGGTGCAGCAGCTGCTGTCTGGAATGTTATCAAACCAGGACTGCACAGGCACTGCATTCTCTGTGTGGAAGACGTAAGAAGCAGGCGAGTTGTCCAGGATGAGAGTTTTCCTCAGGTCCCTCCCCAGATGGCTGAGGTCATTGACATAGCAGCCCTGGTGGAACAAACGTGACTCATGGGCTAGGCAACCCCAGAACACCTCACACTGGTCCAGCACACCCATCACAATGTGTCTGGAATTGGTGGGTTCTTGTTCTCACTGACTTCAAGAATGAAGCCACAGACCCTCACGGTGAGTGTTACAGTTCTTAAAGGTGGCATGTCTGGAGTTTGTTCCTTCTGACATTCGGATGTGTTGAGAGTTTCTTCCCTCTGGTGGGCTCGTGGTCTCGCTGGCTCAGGAGTGAAGCTGCAGACGTTCGCGGTGAGTGTTACAGCTCTTAAGGTGGCACATCTGGAGTTGTTCATTCCTCCAGGTGGGTTCGTGGTCTCGCTGGCTTCAGGAGTGAAGTTGTGGACCTTCACAGTGAGTGTTACAGCTCATAAAGGCATTGTGGACCCAAAGAGTGAGCAGCAGCAATATTTATTGCAAAGAGCAAAAGAACAAAGCTTCCACAGTGTGGAAGGGGACCCGAGTGGGTTGCCACTGCTGGCTGGGGCAGCCTACTTTTATTCCCTTATCTGGCCCCACCCACATCTTGCTGATTGTTAGAGCCGAGTGGTCTTTTTTCACAGGGCGCTGATTGGTGTGTTTACAATCCCTGAGCTAGACACAAAGGTTCTCCACATCCCCACCAGTGTAGCTAGATACAGAGTGTTGATTGGTGCATTCACAAACCCTGAGCTAGACACAGGGTGCTGATTGGCATGTTTACAAACCTTGAGCTAGATACAGAGTGCCGATTGGTGTATTTACAATCCCTGAGCTAGACACAAAGTTTCTCCACGTCCCTACCAGACTCAGGAGCCCAGCTGGCTTCACCCAGTGGATCCCCCACAGGGTCTGCAGGTGTAGCTGCCTGCCAGTCTGGCACTGTGCACCCGCACTTCTCAGCCCTTGGGTGGTTGATGGGACTGGGTGCCGTGGAGCAGGGGGCGACACTCATCCAGGAGGCTTGGGCACACAGGAGCCCACCGATGGGGGGGAGGCTCAGGCATGGCGGGCTGCAGGACCCAAGCCCTGCCCTGTGGGATGGCAGCTAAGGCCCAGCGACAAATTGAGCACAGCAGCTGCTGGCCGAGGTGTTAAGCCCCTCACTGCCTGGGGCCGGTGGGGCCAGCCGGCGGCTCCGAGTGTGGGGTCCGCCGAGCTCGCGCTGGCCTTCAAGCACTGCACGCCGCCCTGGTTCCCACACGCACCTCTCCCTCCACACCTCGTCGCAAGCTGAGGGAGCCGGCTCCGACCTTGGCCAGCCCAGAAAGGGGCTCCCACAGTGCAGCGACAGGCTGAAGGGCTCCTAAAGTGCCGCCAAAGTTGGAGCCCAGGCAGAGGAGGCCCGGAGAGTGAGCAAGGGTTGTGAGGACTGCCAGCACGCTGTCACCTCTCAACAGGATCTGCATACTTGTTCAGTCTGGAATGAAGAGAGCAATGAAGAAAACACATTTAAACAGTTCCTCCAGTCATCTCAGGAACTCATCCATATAAGGCCTCATGGTCCCCTCAATCTTTACAGTCACTAGGCAGTCAGCATTGCTGATTGGCTTAATGGAGCTATGCACAAGGGTTTCATCCATGTCAGTGACCATACAGATCGTTCCTTGATTTTTCTCTGTCACCTCTGGGAGCAGGCAGGTCCCTGGGATCTGATAAAACTGATACTGGAGACACTTGAGCTGATCCGACTTAGCAATGGTGTTGACTCCCTCCTTATGTGTGGAGAACTCAGTGGGGGAACTTGACTTGCCAACATGCTGGGTGCAAGAACAGCAGAAAGGTACCTTCTAAGATGTCACAAACATGAGGCCTCTTCGGAGAGCACTTTGGAAACCAGGCCTTGCTTGCTAAGGACCAGGGCATCTTCCCTCCATGCCTGGGTGGTGATGGAGCCTGGTTCCATCTAACAATCCTGAGGGCTCGGCTGGCTGGGTGGGAAGACAGCGGGCACGTTGGCTGGACTGGGCTGGGGGGCATGGGCTGGGGCCTGATTCAGTTCCCGAGAGTCTGACTTCCACAGCTGTTCACATACCCCTTCTCCTTTCCATCACAGGCCGGGAAGAGAGGCGGCCTGTAGGGACGGTGGATGGCCTTGGCAGCAGCTCCCCAGGGTGCCCCCAGCCCCAAATCCCCCAGCAGGAGCTTCAGGATCTTCAGTTTGGGTCTAACCTAGGGAATCCACCTCATACTCATGTTTTTTCAAGTTTTATTTTAAGTTCAGTGGTCCATATGTGATAAGCTTTTTTTTCAACTTTTATTTTAAGTTTAGGGGTCCATGTGCAGGATATGCAGGTCTCTTACATAGATAAACGTGTGCCATTGTGCTTTACTGCACAGATCATCTCATCACCCAGGTACTAAGCCCAGCATCCGCAGCTATTCTTCCTGCTGCTCTCCTTCCCCTCCCCCATGCCATGAAACAGGTGTCCAGTGTGTGTTGTTCTTCCTGATGTGTCCATGTGTTCTCATTGATCTGCTTCTGCTAATAAGTTAGAATAATAATAGGTGGTGTTTGGTTTTCTGTTCCTGCATTAGTTTGCTGGGAGTAATGGCTTCAAATTCCAACCATGTCCCTGCAAAGGACATCATCTCATTACATTTTATGGCTTCATAGTGTTCCATGGTGTATGTGTACCACATTTTCTTTATCCAGTATATCATTGATGGGCATGTAGATTGATTACATGACGTTGCTATTGTAAATATTGCTGCAATGAACATATGTATACATGTTTATTTAAAATAGATTTATATTCCTTTGGGTGTATGCCCAGTAATAGTATTGCTGGGTCAAATGGTATTTCTGCTTCTAGGTCTTTGAGGAATCTCCACACTCTCTTCCACAATGCTTGAAATAATTTACAATCCCACCAACAGTGTAAAAGTGTTCCCTTTTCTCCACAACCTCACCAGCATCTGTTTTTATTTCTTTTTTACTTTTTATTAATAGACATTGTAATTGGTGTGAGATGGTATCTCATTGTTGTTTTGATGTGTATTTATCCAGTTATCAGTGATGTTGAGCTTTCCATGTTTGTTGGGCACATGTATGTCTTCTTTTGAGATATGTCTGTTCATGTCCTTTGACCACTTTTTAATGGGGTTGTTTGTTTTTCTCTTGTAAATTTTAAGTCCCTCATAGATTCTGGGTATTAGATATTTGTCAGATGAATAGGTTGCAAAATTTTTCTCCCATTCTCTAGCTTCTCTGCTCTGATGATAGCTTCTTTGGCTCTGTGGAATCTCTTTAGTTTAATTAGACCCCATTAGTCAATTTTTGCTTTTGTTGCTATTTCTTTTGGTCTTTTTGTCATCAAATCTTTCCTCATGACTATATCCTGAATGGTATTTTCTAGATTTTTTCTTCTAAGGTTTTTATAGTTTTGGGTTTTACATTCAAGTCTTTAATCCATCTTGAGTCAATTTTTGTCTATGGTGTTAGGAAGGGTTCCAGTCTTAATTCTCTGCACATGACTAGCCAGTTATCCTAGCACTATTTATTGAATAGGGAGACTTTTCCCTAATTCCTTGTTTTTGTTGACTTTGTCAAAGATCAGTTTGTTGTAGGTTTTTGGCTTTATTTCTATGCTCTCTATTTTGTTTCATTTGTCTATGTGTCTGTTTCTATACCAGTACCATGCTGTTTTTGTTACTGTACTCTTCTAGTACAGTTTGAAGTTAGGCAATGACCCTTTCAGCTTTTTTTTTTTTTTTTCTTAAGGTTGGCTTGGCTATTTGGGCTCTTTTTTGGTTCCATTTTAATTTTAAAAAGTTTTTTTTTTCTAATTATCTGAAGAATGTCAGTAGTTCAATGGGAACAGCATTGAATCTATAAATTACTTAGGGCAATATGCTCATATTCGTGGTACTGATTCTTTCTCTCCGTGAGCATGGAATGTTTCTCCATTTGTTTTGTGTCCACTCTGATTCCTCTGAGTAGTTGTTTGTAGTTCTCCTTGAAGATATCCTTCACTTTCCTTCTTAGCTGTATTCCTTGGTATTTTTTTCTCTTTATAGCAAATGTGAATGAAAGTTCATTCATGATTTGTCTCCCTGCTTGCCTGTTGCTTGTGTATGGGAATGCTAGCTACTTTTGCAGATTGATTTTATATCCTGAGATTTTGCTACTGCTGCTTATCACCTTAAGAAGCTTTGGGGCTGAGACGAAGAGGCTTTCTAGATATAGGGTCAGGTCATCTGTAAACAAAGATAATTTGACTTTCTCTCTTTCTATTTGAATACTGTTTATTTCTTCCTCTGGCCTGATTTTCCTGGACAAGTTTTCCGAATGGGAGTTGTAATGCGAGTGGTGAGAGAGAGCATACTTTTCTTGTGCCGGTTTTCAGGGGGAATGTTTCCAGCTTTTGCATATTCAGTATGATATTGGCTGTGGGTTTGTTGTATATGGCTCTTCTTATTTTGAGGTATGTTTCTTCAGTTCCTAATTTATTGAGAATTTTAAACGTGAAGGAATGTTGAATTTTATTGGGTGCTTTTTCTGCATCTATTGAGGTAATCATGTGGTTTTTTTATTTAGTTTTCTTTATGTGATGAGTCACATTTGTTGATTTGCATATGTTGAATCAACCTTGCATCCTGGAGACAAAGCCAATTCCATTGTGGTGGATGCACTTTTTAATGTGCTGCTGGGTTTGGTTTGCCAGTATTTTATTGAGGATGTTTGCACAGTGTTCATCAAAGACATTGGCATGATGTGTTGTTGTTGTTGTTGTTGTATCTATGTTAGGTTTTGGTATCAGGATGATGCTGGCCTGATAGAATGAGTTAGACAGAACTTCTTTGTCTTCAATTTTTTTTGGATAGTTTTAGGAGAAAATGTACTATCTCCTCTTTACCTCAAGTCAAATTCAGCTTGCTTGGTAGGCTAGTTCTTACTGTCTCAATTTCAGAACACATTATTGATCTATTCAGGGTTCAGTCTTGTAGAGAGTTTATTTTGCAAGGAAATTGTCCATTTCTTCTAGATTTTCTGGTTTATGAGCATAGAGGTGTTTATAGTATTCTCTGATCGTTGTTCTTATTTCCATGGGATCAGTGATGATATCTCCCTTATTATTTCTATTTGTGTTTGGTTCTTTCTTTTCTTATTTATTTGCCTAACTAGTGTTCCATCTAGTTTATAAATTTTTTTTTTTTTCATAAAAACAGCTCCTGGATTGGTTGAGTTTTTTTTTTTTTTTTTTGGAAGAGTTCTCAGTGTCTCTATCTCCTTCAGCTCTACTCTGATCTTGGCTATTTCTTATCTTCTGCTAGCTTTCAGGTTTGTTTTCACTTGGTTTTCTTGTTCTTTTAACCAAGATGTTAGGCTGTTAACTTTAGATCTTTCTAATTTTTTTTTTTCTTGTGGGAGAGTTTCACTCTGTCACCCAGGCTGGAGTACAGTGGCATAATCTCGGCTCACTGCAACCTCCACTTCTCGGTTTTAAGTCACTTCTGCTGTCTCAGCCTCCTGAGTAGCTGGGATTACAGATGTGAATCACCACACCTAGCTAATTTTTGTATTTTTTTGTAGAGATATGGTTTTGCTGTTGGCCAGGCTGGTCCTGAACACCTGGTCTCAAGTGATCTGCCTACCCCAGCCTCCCAAAGTGCTGGAATTACAGGCATGAGCCACCATGACCGGCCCTTTCTAGCTTTTTGATGTGGACATTAGTGCTATAAATTTCCCTCTTTTCTTGGTTTCTAGTGATTATTTTATTCTATCTTGGTGAGTAGTCAGGGAAATAATCTTAAATTTACAATCAACTTATAGTTTAAATCTAAATAATTAAGTGAGAAGAACCCTTTGTTATTTGAAGGGGATGTTTGAAGATTTTGTAACCGTGCCTTTTAGGTAGTCCTAAATTTCTAATTGTAGTTAAAAACATGCCATTTTCATTTCTAACATTTTAAGTATATGGTTTAGAAGTGGTAAGTATAGTTCTATTTTTTTTTGCAATAGGTTTTAGATAATTTTTGTCTTACAAAAGTAAAAGTGAATACTCATTAATTCTGAAACAAGTTAGTTAGCTTGCTTTAGTTAGATAGCAAGAGAAGGGTCCCTGGAAAGTCCCTGGCCCTTGGGTCAGTGTCTCATCCCTGCATAATATAAAAGGAATCCTGGAAAAAATCAAGCTGCAGACACTAACAAGGTAACTAGCACATGGTGTTGTGCTTGGAGACCTGCCCATGGCTGCACAGACAGAAAAACCTCTGGCATATTTGGATAAAAACTTGTACAAACCTCCAGCTCACTGAGATAAGGGAACAAGACCGACCTGGCATAGAAATGCCTTTGTTTGTCCAGGCACAGTGGCTCATGCCCGTAATTCCAGCAATTTGGGAGGCAGAAGTGGGCGGATCACCTGAGGTCGGGAGTTCGAGACCAGCATGACCAACATGGAGAAAAATACAAAATTAGCCGGGCATGGTGCCTCATGCCTGTAATCCCAGCTACTTGGGAGGCTGAGGCAGGAGAATCACTTAAACCCAGGTGGCGGAGTTTGCTGTGGGCCGAGATCGCACCATTGCACTCCAGCCTGGGCAACAAGAGCAAAACTACGTCTCAAAATAAATAAATTAATAAATAATAAGAAAGTACATCTCAAAAACAAAAATGAAAGAAAGAAAGAAAAGAAAAAGAAAAAAAGAAACGCCTTTGTACTTTGTGCAGTCAGTGGGCTCCCAGGAAAATGTTTCTTCTCCTTTTGTGGGCATAAGCACAGTGGGCTCTGGTGCATTCCGGTCGACACTCTCCTTTATTTGGACTGTAAGTCAGACCTCTGTGAATAATTACTTCAGCCCCTGATTGCTCCCGGGACAAGCTCCTGCGCCAAGCTTTCACTTTAGCTTCTGATAAGTCCTGGGCCAATCTAAATAGCATCTATGAATCATCCCTTCAGCTCCTGATTGGTCCCGGGTCAAAGTCCTGGGCCAAGCTGAGCCACACTTTTTTCAAGACAGCCTGTTAACTAGGCACATTTCCTTCTCTTCCTTTCCCAGTCCATAAAAACCTTGGGCCCCAGCCTCACAGAGGTCACCCCATTCAGAAACTATCTCTGCTGGCAAAGAGCTTTCTTCTCTTGCTTATCAAACTTTCACTCTAACCTCACCTTTGTGTTCACGCTCCTTAATCTCCCTAGAAGTAGAACAAAGAACTTTCGATGCTATCTCAGACTATGAGAGACTGTTACATCTTGGTGCACTGCTGAGACTACAACACTTGGTTTCTTTGAGTTTGACTAAATATTTTACATAGGTGTAATTATACAGTTTTCCTTTTTGACTGTCTTGTTTTACTTAACAGAATGTTTTCGAGATTTGTCCTTATTGTAGTACTTTTCAAGATTTCCTTATTTTTAAGGCTGAATGCTATCCAGTGAATATACGTGCCCTGTTTGTTGAATCTACTCATCCTTAAAGGTACATTTGCTTCCAGGTAGTATGTTTGTGAGTAATGCTACAGTGTACATAAATGTGCATATATCTATTCCATGTTCTGCTTTGCCTGTTTGGGATATTTTTCACACACTGATTTAGTACCATGTGTATTCCCTTGCTTTTGTTGTCTGATTCGTTGATGTTACATCCCCCAAATTATTGCCGAGACCAATTGTCATGAAGCTTCACCCTTCTGTATTGTGCTAGGAATTTTACAGCTATAGATTTTACATTATAGTCTTCATATTTTAAAATTGACACATGTAATTGTACAAATTTTGGGGAAACAATTATGTATATATGTTGTATAGCAATAAAAATCAGAGTACTTAGTGTAATTATTGCCTCATACATTTGTTATTTTTGTGGTGAGAACATTCAAAAGCTTCTTCTCTAGCTATTTTTTTATATCTTTATATATTAACTTTTTTTAGAGACAGGATCTTGCTCTAACACACAGATTGGAGTGCAGTGGTGCAATCCTAGCTCACTGTAACCTCAAACAATCTTCTAACCTCAGCTTCCCAATTAGCTGAGACTACAGGAACCTGCCTCCATGCCTGGATAATGTTTTAATTTTTCATAGAGACAGGGTCACACTATGTTGTCCAGGCTCATCTTGAACTTCTGACATCAAGTGATTCTCCTACCTCATTCTCCCAAAATGTATGGATGGCAGGAATGTGCCACCACAACTGGTCTCTTTTAGCTATTTTGTAATTTGAGATAACTTTTCATTAATTATTATTATTCTGCTGTGTAACAAAAAACAAAAACTTATTTCTCCTATCTAATTGTAACACAATACTTTTGAAGCTGCCTTTTCCCATCTCCCTGCTTCAGTCTCTGGGAACCCCTGTTGTACTCTTTGCTTATATCAACCCTTTTTTCAGGTTCCTCAAATGAGTGAGATAATAAGATCATAAAGTATTTGTGTTTCTCTATGTGGCTTATTTTACTTAACATGGTATGCTCAAGGTTCATCCATGCTCTTTTAACTGACAGAATTTTATCCTTTCTTATAGCTGAATAGTATTTCACTGTGCATATATAGTACATTTTCCTTATCCATTTATCTGTTGCTGTACATTTGAATTGATTCCATATATAAGCTATTATAACTAGTTCTGTAACTAACATGGAAATGCAAATATCTTTTTGACACAGTGATATCCTTTCTTTTGTATATACATGCAGGAGTAAAATTGCTGGATCATGTAATACATCTATTTTTAATTTCTTTCAGAAACCTCCATAGTATTTTCTATAGTGGCCATACTAATTTACAATTCCACCAACAATGTATACATTCACTCATTTTATATCCTCATTAGTACTTGTTTTATTTATTTATTTATTTTTATTATAGCCATTCTAAATGGGAGTGAGGCGGTACCTCATTGTGGTTTGGATTTTCATTTCCTTAGTGATTAGTAATGTAGAACATATTTTTATGTTCCAGTTAGCCATTTTTGTATCACTTTTTGACAAACATCTATTAAGATCTTTTGCATTTTTTTAATTAGATTATAAGTGTATTTTATTTTGAGATTTTAAAGTTTCTTATTTATTCTGAATATTAGCCTTTTGTCATATGTATAGCCTGAAAGCATTTTCTTTTATTGCCTAAGCTGTCTCTTCAATCTTTTAGTTTTTTTAATATGGAAAAGCATTTTAGTTTGACATAATGTTGTTTGCTTATTTTTGATTTTGTTGCCTATGTTTTGACATGTTATTTTAATAATCCTTTCCCCGTCGAATGTTATAAAGCATTTTTTAGTTTTTCTCTAATAGTTTCATAATTGATAGCATTACATTTAAGTCTTTAGTTTGAATTGATTTTCATATATGGCAAGGCACAGGGGTCTAGTATAATTTTTCTGAATTTAAATATTTAAATGGCCCTGCATCATTTATTGAAGAAATTAGCTTTTCCCTAAAGTGTGTTCTTGGCAATTTTGTTGACAATCAGTTGGCTTTAGGTGCATAAACTAACTTCTGGGCTTCTTGGGCACATTAGTCTATGTGTTTGTTTTTATGCCAGTACAGTGCTCTTTTGGTTACTATAGCTTTGTAGCAAGTTTTGAAGTTTGATAAAGTGATGCCTTTAGCTTTGCTTATTTTGCTCAAAGTTATTTGTCTATTCAGAGTTTTTTGTGGATCCACATAAATTTAAAATATTTTTTCTATTTCTGTGAAAAAATGTCATTGATATTTTGATAAAAATATTACCTCCCACAGGGTCCCTCCCAGGACATGTGGGGATTATTACAATTTAAGATGAGATTTGATTGGGGACACAGAGCCAAACCCTGTCAATTACTTAAATCCAGGAGTTCGACACTACCCCGGGCAATATTGTGACAAGCTATTGGTAAAAAATATTTTCACAGATTACTCAGGCATTGTGGAATGTTCCTGTAGTCTCAGGAAGTTGGAGGCTGACGTAAGATTATTCCTTGAGTTCCCCAGGAACTTGAGGCTGCATTGAGCTATAATCATCGTATTGTATTCCTGTCTGGGTGAGAGAGTAAGACCTCTTTTTAGAATTTCAAATTTATTTTAGATTTAGGAGGTACCTACACAGGTTTTTTACATGGGTATTTTGTATAATGCTGAGGTTTGAAGTATGAGTAATTCCATCAATCAGGTAGTGAGCATAGTACTAAGTAGACAGTTTTTCAGTTCTTGGTCCCTCCCTCTCTCCACCCTCTAAGAGTTGTCTATTATTTTTGTTTTTCTGTCCATGTGTACCCAGTGTTAATTTCCATTTATAAGTGAGAATATGCAGTATTTTCATTTTCCATTTCTGCATTAATTTGCTTTGTATAATGGCCTTTAGTTGTGTTAACGTTGCTGCAAAGGAGGTTTTTTTTGTTTGTTTTTGCTAAGTAGTATTGCTGTACATGTGACACTTTTTAAATTCAATTTACCATCAATAGGCTGGACATGGTGGCTGATGCCTGTAATCCCAGTGCTGTGGGAGGCCAAGGCGGGTGGATCATGAGGTCAGGAGATCGAGACCATCCTGGACAACGTAATGAAACCCCGTATGTACTGGAAATACAAAAGTTAGCCAGGCTTGGTGGCATGCGCCTATAGTCCCAGCTACTCGGGTGGCTGAGGAAGGAGAATTGCTTGAACCTGGGAGGTGGAGATTGTAGTGAGCTGAGATCGTGCCACTGCACTCCAGCCTGGGCAACAGAGTGAGACGTCATCTCAAAAAAATAAAAAATTACCATGAATAGGCACGTAGGTTGATTCAGGTCCTTCCTCTTATGAATAGTGTAGTGATGAACCAACAAGTGCATGTGCTATTTTGGTAGAATAGTTTATTCTCTTTTGGGTATATACCCAGCGGTGAAATTGCTGGGTTGAATCACAGTTTAACTCTCAGTTATTTGGAAAATCTCCAAGCTGTTCTCCACAGTGGCTGAACTAATTTACATTCCTATTAACAGTGTATAAGTGGTTTTTTCCCTCTAAAACCCCATCAACATCTATTATCATTTTACTTTTTAACAAAAACCATTCTAACTGGTGTACAATGGTGTCTTATTGTGGTTTTTATTTACATTTCCTTGATGGTTAGTGATGATAAGCTTTTTTCATGTTATTTGGCCACTTGTATGTGTTCTTTTGAAGAGTGTCTGTTATTGCCCACTTTTTCATGGGGTAATTTTTTCCTTGTGAATTCTTTAAGTTTCTTATAGATTCTGAGTATTAGATTTTGTCAGGTTCATAGGTTATGAATATTTTTGCCATTCTGCTAGCTTTGGGGTAAGTTAGTTTTTATTTTTCTAGTTTCTCTAAGTGTGATGTTAAATTGTTAGTTTGAGATCATTCTAACTTCTTGATGCAGGTATTTAGCACTCTCAACTTTCCTCTTAACAGAGCTCTTCCTACAACCCAGACATTTTGTTATATTGTGTCTCTTCTATTTCAAAATCTTTTTAATTTTCTGCCTTAATTTTTTTGTTTATCCAAAATTCATTCAGGAGCAAGTTGTTTAATTTCAATATCATTCTGTGATTTTGTGAGATTTTCTTGGTATTGATTTTTATCTTTGTTCCATTGTGGCCTGTCATATTCTGTGAGCAGATGAGAAGAATTTACTTTCTTTAGATGATGTGTTGCATATACTATAAATGTCTATTAGTTTCAATTGATCAAGTGTCGAATCAAACTCCAGAATTTCTTTGTTAAGTTTCTGCCTAGATAATCTGTCAAACACTTAGTGGGGAGTTGCATTCCCCTACTATTATTGTGTGTCTACTTGAGGCTTATTGTAGTTCTAGCAGTAATTGTTGTATAACTCTATGTTCCCCAAAGTTGGGTGCATCTACATTTACGATAGTTAAGTCTTCTTGTTGAATTGAACCCTTTATCGTTACGCAATACCTTTCTTTGTTTTATTTTACTATTAATGATTTAAAGCTATTTTTTCTTAAAAGAGAAACAATTCCAGGTATGGTAGCTTGTGCCAGCACTTTCAGACTGAAGCAGTCGGATTGCCTGAGACCAGGAGTTTGAGACCAGCCGAGGCAACACAGCAACATACTGTTTGTACAAATTTTTTTAAAGAAACTATACAGGAGGGGTAATGTGCACAACTGTGGTCATATTTACTCAGGAGACATAGGTGGCATGACTGCTTGACTTCCGAAATTTGAGGTTACAGTGAGCTGTGATTCCACCAGTGTACTCTGTCCCAGGAGATAAAGTAAGATC